>NC_000007.14:86446172-86749203 GCF_000001405.40 Homo sapiens | reverse complement strand
GGGAAAAGCAGATTTTGTTTAAAAGCTATTTTTATTAGCTAGAAAAACTATGCCAGTAGTAAGAATTAGAAAATAAGCCCTGATTTTTTACATGTGAAATATCACCTTATATGTTATTTTAAGCTGTACAAAGAATGAGCACAAAAGTTTCTTTCAATATTACTAATGTTGCCTCAACTTTGCATAAAATATCTAACTAAGGTGTTAGCATCTGGGTGTGTTTTGAATGATCTTTGGGTATTGATTTAAACAAATTCTTCTTCAGCACTTACTCTGGACCTCTGTCTTGGAATTCACTATTATTAACTGCGGAGGATTAACATATGGAATGTCAAGAACAATGACACTATCTTCGACATGGGTAAGCCAAAAGGAGAAGATAAGTATTCTTTTGAGGACTTTGAGTTAATTTCATGACCATCAGTGAACAACAGGACAGTAGCCCTATTCTATGAAAAATTTCACAGTATACCTTTTAATGTAATAGTCCCACTGCTCCATTCTCTAAATAGCCACTCTCCCCTGCACTGTAACTAAATTTTTGTTTTTAAAATATGAGTATTTATAGATTATAAAATGTTTTAGTAAGAAAGCCTCCGGTATCATCCAGGCTGACCCTTGATCTTCTTAATTTTCTTACGAAATATCGGAGTCCCTGGGGAAGGGGATTATTCAGGTATTTCTATTTTAGGGTCTTGCCTAAAATGTATTTAAAAGCTCTTCCCCTGAATGAAATCTAGTCTGCATGTGGTGCCTCTTTGGGAACATCTGTGGATGTAACATATTGTGCTTGGTTCTTCCAATATATATTTTTCTTCTAGTCAGAGACTTGTTACTTGCCTCCAAATGACTTCGAATTCCTGCAGCCGTTTTCCTTTCATTAGACAATATTCTTACTTCCTGAGGGGGATGGTTAGTTAAATAAAGAGTCAAGGGTACTAGTGTGGATGAGCCAAAACAAAAAATATATATATTCCATTGTTTAATAACAGGGATTGATGGTCAGCTGTAGGAAACATAAAGTGTATGCTCTGAGAACAATGGTGAAAAGGTGAAAGATTAAAACAAAAGCAAAAAGCGAAATAATAGGTATATCCACAGGCTGTCTCCTGCCAGGTGAAGGGAAAAAAAGAATGTTTCCTTGTGAAAGGGAACAACTTCAGTCTACTAAGCTTTTAAAAAAAGAAGAAGTTAACCACAGGGAGACAGGAGGAACAACAGTGGAGAGAACTGAACTACAGAATACTAACTGTTCCCTGCGCAAACGTTAGCTCCAGGCTGTGCTGTTTAGTGGGGTGTGAAATCACAATTAACAGAGCAAGGGTTCTGTAAGTGAGCCGAAGCTGCTTCAAATTACATCCTGCTATTAGCTGCTTTTAGAACAACCACATTGAACAACTCCATGTTTATTGGACTGTGTTATGTTCTTGAAGAAATCATTAATAAAAACAGCTGATTATAGTTACATTTACTCTGTTGGTATTTTAGATCTTAACCATTTTGGATGTTTACCAGTGTAAGGATGCAGAAGCAGGAAATGGATTCAGTCAAATAGGCAACCAGAACTGATGGTGCCAAGGTATCCCAATTGAGTCTTCCCAAGGTCTTTATTGATCTGTTTGTGTACTTCTGGTGAAGATTATAACTGGACCCTGTTGAATGTATTTTAGGCAGAAGCTTAGAGACAATATAAAACCTATAAAGAGAACAAAGGCTTTGATTTATGTATAAGATTAAAGATATTAAATATCACCATTGCCCATGTAACAACCTTTTTATAAAATAAAATGAGCTTATAGAAAATATGGCTTAAAATGTAAAGTATAAATCTCATCAATTTTCTCTGAAAATAATGGCTTTGAAATCCCTTTTACCCTGAAGGTATTAGAAAGTCTATTATCATTTCTGTTTTGATACATGTTAGTGAGGGTTTAGAAACTGTAATGAAGAGAAAATTTTACAGATAAAACATGCTTTGTTGAGTATACTGAAACATAGTAAAGCTGATGTGTCAGCTAACTTCGCTGCATGGCTCAAGGCTTCTCTGCTTAAATTTTTCTCAGGCTAATTAAATGTATAATGGGATCATGGACACTTACATATGGAAGGGAACTTATAAAATGTCTCTTCCAACTCCTATGAGTGCTTAGAGCAGTGAATAGCCTTGTCTACATCTTTAAGTGACTTGATTACCAGGACCAGAGCCAGGACTAGAGCTAAGTTTATGATTCCCAAATCCTCTTTGAACATGTTGTCCATACTGAAAGGTGTCAATCATCTTTGCTACACATGATCTGCAAAATCAGAGTTGACTTTCAAATCTGAAGCCAGTATGAGGCCCTTGGCTTCTTCTACTTTTTATCAGGCCATAGTGGCATTTGCCAACCCTATTATTCAAAAAAGCTGATTCCAAATGGGCTGCTGTACCCAAGAATCACTAAAAATACCACTGCATCTCTGTCCAATATTTCTTTTGAGTGAAGTGATATATAAGCCCCGTGAAATCAGCTTTCTTGAATTTTGGCATTAGCAATGCATCGGGCTAGGAATTTATGCAATTTTAAAAGGTGAGACAGAGGTGATGAAGCCCATGGCTGGATTCTGCTGAGCTATGTGGACTTTGAATGTCCCTGAGCTTTAGTTTTTTGATTTGTAGAATAAAGGTGTTGAGCTGAATGATCCCTAAGGCATCCTCTAACTTGCACATTTTTTTTTTCATTCTAAGTTCAGTATTGACAAATATTTCTGGAATTCTAGCAGTCTATCCACTTAAGTTCAAAACACTCCTGTCTCCTCTTAAATGCAGCACAGAATTCTATTGAAGTGATTATATATATATATATATATATATATATATATATAATACATGACTGACCCTCTATTAGTCATATATTGAGTTTTGTTTCTCAGTGGTATGGATATATTTGACCTATCCTGCCATTCTTTCTGACTTTTCCATTACCCATCCTCCCTGCCTCCACTTAAGAACAGAACATCAACAAAGTACTCACAAAATAAAGATTATAGAGCCAGATGAGGAAAACATTAGAAAAATCTACTTAGGAAGTTAATACTATTGAAAGATATTTAATGCTTGATGCCTACCTGAAAGAAGCTTTGTATCTTTGACAAAGTTGGATAAAAAGGAAGGGAGGAGAAAAGGGGAAACAAAATACTTATCAAGAACCTATTTTTTTCCTAGGCATGGGATTAGACACATCTGTTTAGTTTTAATTCTTTTCTCTCCATCATTAACTCATTAAAACAAATATTAATCTGTACACTTACATGCCAGACACTCAAGATACAGAGGTGAATGAGACTACATCTGTCTTTGTCCTCAGTGAGCTCGTTTAATCAGGTAGATACTTTATCTTCAACTTTAGACAAAAGAAATTCCCATGGTTTTGTAAATCTTTAGATTTCTTTTAGAAACTCTGGAGATGTGGCCCTTCTTTTAAAAATTTCTCCTAGCCATGAATGACAGAAAAATTAGGCATGTATACATTTTACTATAATGATAATATAGCATAATCCACCTAAAATTTTTCCACTCCAAAAGCCCAAAGCCCAATTTCCTATTCTCCTAAGCTCTTCATGAGAAGCTCTGCAGGAAGTCATTCACATTATGTTGTAATTGGAGGCTTAGTGAGACTATGTGGCTTCTCCAAGGTCAGAGAGTGAGGTGGCCTTGAGCCCTGAATCCAAGCTGTCTGAAGGTGACCGGGGAAGATTTCTACTTATATTGTTTTCATCTTCCCAGATGTTTAAGTAAGATTTTTTGGTGACCATGTTTCTAGATTTGGAGGGTGGTATTCTAAATCTGAGCCTTCCTTTTCCAAGGTGGGCTATGCTAAGATGATAGAGGCTGCTATCTTTATCCTTTGGCCAATGTCACATTCCACTCAGCAGCATGGCCATGAATAATTAGATAAAGCATACCTCCCACTGCCCTCAGGGGTTTCTGGCACATGTGCCAAGTCAAACAGGCTTTATCTCAGTCAAGCATTGCCTGCCCCTCTGCTGTGGCCAAACGCCCAGACATTTTGCTGCTGTTTAACAAAGCCAACTGGAAAAGAAAATGACCCACATGCCAGCTCTGGAGTTATGAGATGGAAGGGAAATTTCCGTAAGGTAACATATGTAAATGTGAAAGCCCAACTTTGTTCCACATCATAAATCAGCCATTTATCACACTAGATCATGAAATGCCAAGACAACTAAGGTACCTAGATTTGACTACAGCAAGGGGGACCAGCATGGGTTGTTGGCTAGGAGTCGAAGAGCCTGGGTGTGAGGAACAAAGGAAAGCCCATGTCTGCTTCTGATGGTGCCTTTCTACATATTTCCAGGAGTGCTTTTCATGTATCTTTTGTAAGGCAGGCATATCATATTCCATGCGGTAGAGAATCTATCTCAGCACTGGTTTTAGCCACCATGCTGGACTTCCTGTAAGTTTCTTAACACTATTTTTGTATATTCAGCTCCTTATTCACCTGTTCATGCATCAGAATGCTGACAGACTGCCCGGCATATATAGTAGGAGTTTATTCTTACCTGAGATGGTGGTGCTCACCCACACTAACCTCACATTGTAGATATGGCAGCAAAAGGTTTTAAGCGTCCCTGACACCCTAGGGGCGACCCATGACATGTGGCCTGTTGGGGAATCTTTGCTACTCCTGCCTTGGAACCTCATGCTCCTGTGGATAGTATTTCCTCTTGGTGGGGCCTAGTCTTGGAAAGTTCTTCATGCTCTCCACTATAGAGTAGAATCTGTAAGATAGCCCTCTGCAATTATTTTAAGGGGCCCAGAATATTTGGGAAAGATAGTAATATGACATCTTTCCCAAATATTCTGGACCCCTTAAGATAATTGCGGAGGGCTGTATCCCAAAAACTTATGAGGGCAAGTGTTTCTAGCACTGCCTGTCTGCTGCACACTCTTTCATGTAAAGCTTCCACATTCTCTAATAGTCTTACTTATACTTATACTCTGTCATAAGTATCCTCCCAGAGGGGAGTGTGAGTTATGCTGATGGTCAGGCACAAGAGAGCAATGCCCAGACCTGGGTGTGGGATGCTTCGTATAGTGGATTCATAAGGAGAGGAGCTAGATTAGAGAGGTAACATTGCCCATTTGCTTTAGGGTCTTGAACAGCTCTTGGCATCTCTGTTTTCTTATCTGTAAGATGATGCTAATAATACCTACCCCAGAATGTCATTTGTGAACCTAGTTGAGATAATGCTTGTGAATGTGCTTTGTAAAGGATATAAAACCTTTCAGTGTAGTATCTTATTATCATAGTCTCACACAGCTCTCTTCTTGAGGAATTACATATGGAAGTGGTTTGAGTCAGACTTGAAGTTAATGCATTAGTGTATACATGATAGATTTGGAGGAGGGGCTGAACACTCTTTTCTAGCCCACAGAGATCTTGCTCTCCAGCCATTCACTAGGTTTGCAATCCTACTCTTCTTTATACCAACAGGCCCTTGTTGTAATGTAAATTCCTCTGACAAGTATAATATCAGAAACTTTTTTATTTCAATCAATACAGGACACTCTAGAATCTAAGAGGTATGAAAACCTATATTGTCAATCTCACAATTTTCCCCTGGTCACAGGGATGGCTTTGGGTTAGGGTTTCAGATTAAATCTCAGAATAAGGACAATATATGCAGCTGCAAGGGAGAAGAAATATAAACCTTGGACCCTTATAGATAAATGTTTTAAAATAGAAAGGGAAGAAGGAAGGGCCATAAAATCTCCATAAATTTTTCCCACTTTATTGAGGTTTTCTTTCAGTTCTTCAGAGACTATGTTTATTGTGCTGTTTAGGTATGTTTCTGTGTGTGGCTGGGGGAGGATATTTTGTGATATCATGGGATATAGCTACCAACATTCCAATTTCTCCCAAAAAGTCCTTATTGCAAGTTTAAATCAGAGAGTATTATCTGAATCTTAACTGTTGCTTCCATTCTCCATACCTGATATTGAAACCTATATATTGAGAGATTACTATATTATTTGTATTTTCACATAAAACATGCTATATAGTTTTCATCTTCAAAGAGATACGATCATGTAATATAACATAGTGAGAAGAGTGCTTGCTTTGTAATCAGATAGACTTGGGTTTTAATAATAGCTTTATGAATCAGATGATATTTGACTTTGAGGAAGTTATTTAATACTTATGAGCTTCGGTCTCCACATCTGTAAAGTGAGAATAATAATATGAATCTCCTATTGCTCTTGTGATGCTTAAATAAAATAATGAACTAAAAACCCAAGTCACATATAGTAAATACCTCGAAGCGCTTTCATTATCCTCGTTCTAAAATTTATAACTATAGAAAATGTGAAAATGTCACAGAGGAGAATTAGAGCTCAGTGCTGTAGGCCTGTGAAGTACTTTCCCTAAAGTGCTTTGCAAAGGTCACCTTTAATCACAATATACTTCTTATTGGGATATGATTCAATAAGAATTTTTGCTAAGAAAAATCTTTACTTGAAACCATTCAATGGCTCAATTTCCTACCTAAATATATCTAAACTCTTCCACCCGACTTTCAGGTTCCTTTATAATCTTGTAAACTGTACCAATCCAGCCCAATTTCTTACTGTCTCCTTTATCCTTCCTCTTACATCTTCTATTTTATTCCTTGGTATGGCAGATTGTATTTTCCAGAAATATTTCTCATTCCACATGCTCTTTCAGGACCTTTTCACTCTGTCTTCAAGAGAAGTGGTTGTACATCTTAAATATATGTAATTTTAAATTGTCAACTATACCTCAATAAAGCAGTTAAAAAAGAGATAGAGTATATTTTCCTACCCCTTGAACTTGGACAGGACTTTTGATTTCCTCATGAATAGAAGGAAGTAGAAGTGCCAGCTGAATGTGAACTAGTGACCCCAGGTTGTCAAAAGCAGCGAGGCTTCCTGATCCTGCTGCTTCTTTCTAAAGATGTTCACCTTTGGAACCAAAATGCCTTGAAGAAACTAAGCAACCATATAGAGAGGCACATGCACTAGCCAGCAGCACTAGCTGAGGTTCCATCAGACATCCAGCATCAATCACTAAACATGCTAGTGAACAAGCCTTTAGATGATTCCAGCCACCAGTCTTGAGCTGCCCCAGATGATGATGAGTGGGCTAGAGATGAGTTGTCTCCACCAAGCCCTGCCTGAATAGCAGCTTCATGAGAAAATTAATGTATCATTTTAAGCCATTAAATTTTGGTGTGGTATGTTACTAAGCAATAAATAACTGGAACAACTGAGAAGTACTACTTTCCATTTATATTTAAAGTTTTTTAAGGCTAAAAACCATATATTCTCTGCTCTTTATGTAAATAAAATATCAATGCTAGGTACAAAACATATGCAACAAAAATGGTCCTTAGCAATCATCTAATCCAGCAATTTGCAAACTATTCCAGAGCTGGATATTTTGAAAATAGATATGTTGGGCCCTATTTCTTGAGATTCTTATTAAAAGTTCTGGGGTGGTGTCCAAGAATTTTGGAAACATCTGATAAGTTTAATCTTTCAAACTTAAAGATGCAGAGATAGGCACAGAGGCAGGAATTAACTTGTTTTGGGTAGCAAATTAGTGAGCTGAAACTGGCACTCAGCTCTTCAGTAGCTCACACCAGTTCATCATCTAAAACACCTGTCTTTAGATAACCCAATATAGTTGACTATAAATATTAACTTCTTATACCACCTGTTCTTCAAGCTAACTCTATAGCCCATTTATCTCTGCCCCATGTGTGGAAGATCCACCTGAGAGCAATAACTTAAGAAATTAAAGTTGCCATGTGGAGGTTGCTGGGGGAGATTGCTAAGTGAAAGTGCTATATAAACTGAATGTTTTTTAGAAGCAGTTGTGGTTTTCCTGTCCGGCCCACCGCCACTGGAATACCGTGTATGTAAGTTCCCCTCTATAAACCCTATGTTTCATTCACTGGCTCCAGGTCTCTTCTTCAGCCTCTTGAACCTAGTACCATCCATATTAGAGTTAGTAGAGGTCAAACACAACATCCCAAAACGGGGACTCTATTTTTTAAAGTTAATAAAATGTCTCCATGCTTTCATAAGGTCTGGGTGGAGATGGTCCAGGAAAACATTTTAGATGGGAAAACGTGGTGGGAGAGAGATGATGGTTTTCTCTTTGCCTGACTGCCAAGGTCTATGTACACATATATATGGTTCTTCCTTCATCTGCCTGCAAAGGTTGAATTTGACATGATGCATACAGGTTGATCTGTACATCTTCAGCGGACGTGCTCCACAATGTGCTAAGTAATAGACTACCACAGGAAAAAAATGGATATGGTGAAAATTATTTCCATTACTCTGGTAGGAAGATGACAGACCAACCAACGCAGGTTTTGTATGAAATGAAGTGAGTTGGAAGTCCTTGCCAAGGGCCTCTTTCTGCTTTAGTCTTCAAGTTATCAGCTTAATTTTTGAAATGACTCGAGAATTTTTAAGAGGGTCTTGATTCACAGAAATTTTCTTTCAGCCTGTCTCTACCATAATTAGACTTTTAAATCT
Organism: Homo sapiens; assembly: GCF_000001405.40. Lineage (NCBI taxonomy): Eukaryota > Metazoa > Chordata > Mammalia > Primates > Hominidae > Homo > Homo sapiens. The sequence goes on along the minus strand of NC_000007.14, from coordinate 86,740,634 downwards.
TTAATATTTTCTTGAGAATTTCTTATGGATTTTTAAAAATTTAGTTGGTTTTGGGTTTACATTATCCTGAAATTAGGTTTTGAATTGGCAAATAAGTTAATCTTTTTATTCTGGTTAGGCTTATTTTACATTTTCTTACTGGTAGCCAGACTTGCTCTTTGAAATGTTTCTTTTGTCAAACAGTTGTTTTTTAAATTGACTTGGTTGCCTTTTTTTTGAATCAAGGGAGTATTGCTTTGGGCTTCTTGTTATCTCATTGTTTTCTCCCCAGCCTTGACTTTTCCAGATTTTCCGGATTAAGAGAACACATATTATCCCCAGAATGCCTTACTCTAAGGACTAGATACACTTACTTCTTCCTCCTCAAAATGGAAGTTGGGCCTATGGAATAGTAATCCAATTTCATTAACTACCTCTCTTGTTAATTACTTCACAAATGGAACTTTTTTTTTCCATTTAGTAAATGTTCTCATTTACATTTGGTTTGCTGTTCTTCCTAGTTTATATTTGGTTGGTTTTTCTTCTGATTTGTAAGTTTTCTTAAGTTCAATTATTGCTTTGGGCATTTTGTTGAGCTTTGCCTTTGGTGTTAACTTAAATATATAATAGCTAATGTTTTTGAATGCTCACAATTTTAGCACGCACATCTTATTAACACAAGCACTGTTTTCTTTAATCCTTGCAATATCCCAGTGAGCTAGAGGAAATTTACATTTTAGAGATGAGGAAACTGAAGGAAAAAATGAGGATCAGTAAGTTGCTGAAGATCACAAAACTGGTAGAAAGGGCTTAATTATTTTACTCTTGAGCCTTAGATAATCTTTCTTTCCTGTCTTCTAAATGGACATTTTGCTCTGATTTTACTTCTTTTAAGTTTCCAAAAGGTGCATTCAGTTTGGCTTGTTACAATAGTTCTCAAATTTAAGCATGATTAGAATCACCTGGAAGGCTTGTTAAACTACGAATTGGTGGGCTCCACCCAGAGAGTTTCTAATTAAGGAGATTGGGGCAGTCTTTATAAATTTGCCTTTCCAGAAAGTTCCCAGCTGATGTGGATGCTGCTGGTCTGGAACAATTCTGAGAACCACTGATTTAGTTCATTCCCTTCAGGTAGAGGTAAGGCCGTTCTACGTAGGTAATTCCATCCAAAAGTAACAAGTTTTTATATATCAATCAGGCACAGAAAGACAAATGATCTTACCCATATGTGGAATCTAAAAAAGTTGAATTCACAGAAGCGAGAGTAGAAGGTTACTGGAAGGTTACTGGAAGGAGGGGGATGAAGGTTGGGAAGATGTTGGTCAAGTGCTACAAAATTTCAGTTAGGTAGAAGGAATAATTTCCAGAGGCCTGTTGTAGGCTGGGAGCGGTGGCTCATGCCTGTAGTCCCAGCACTTCAGGAGACCAAGGTGTGCAGATCACCTGAGGTCAGGAGTTTGAGACCAGCCTGACCAACATGGTGAAACCCCATCTCTACTAAAAATAGAAAACTTAGCCAGGCATAATGGCGGTGCCTGTAGTCCCAGCTACTTGGGAGACTGAGGCAGGAGAATTGCTTGAACCCAGGAGGCAGAGGTTGCAGGGAGCCAAGATGGCACCACTGCACTCCAGCCTGGGTGACAGAGTGAGTGAGATTGTCTGAAAACAAACAAAAAGAGACCTGGTGTACAACATAGTGATGATAGTTAATAACAATGTATTGTATTCTTGAATTGCGAACAAAGTAGACTTTAAGTGTTCTCACCACAAAAAACCAGGTATATAAGGTAATGGATATGTTAATTAGCTCTATCTGGTCATTTCACAATGTATATTTCAAAACTATATGTTGTGCATGATATCATTTTTTATCTATCAATTAAAAATAATTACTTGGGTTTAAACTTCAATTTCATTTTTATTATACAAGTATCTCTTTTCATCAAGTCAGTAGCAGTTAAAAACCCTTCCATTGCATCCCAGTATCTACTGTATCAGGAGAATTGATTCAGGGTAAAAATGATTTGAGCTTTGATATTCATAAAGTGTGTGATCTTTGGCATGTCATTTAACTTGCCTAAGTGTCAGTTTCCTCATTTGTAACATGAGGAAATGGCATCTGCTTCACAGGAAACTTATGAAGATTAAATAAGTTGAGTGAGATAATGTAAGAGTAGAATATGGCTTTATATTTGACTTCCAAGTGCTGTCAATATCTGGCCCTCACAATTAATTCAGCTTTGTATCTCACATCCTCCAAAGGGACTTCTGTCTCTGTCAGACTTTCTTCCTCACAATCCTGTGAATATGCCATTCTGTTCTCCTTGACTTTGTTCAAAAGCATCCATACTTTTTACTTGCTGAGCCATGTGTGAATTTGACATCTTCCAGTCTAGCTCCATTTTCTGTTCTTTCTGGGAGCAGAGGAGTTAGTCGAAGAGGGGAAATGACTGTGGATACACGGCCTATATTAAATCACTAGTTCCTGAATCACTGTTTGCTGTCCATCCCTATGGTGGCATGGAGCATCCCAAGGAAATAAATACACAGCCCCTTCCTGCCTGTCTCTCCTTGTCATTCAACCAGGGCCAGTAACTGTGCGTCCACACTGCTGCCTACAAAATGTCCCCAACAGAGTGAAACCTCTAAATCTGGGAAATGCTTTCATGTCAAATCTGGCAAAGGAACATCTAAATGGTGAGGGGAATGTGCACAATAGATTTCATATAGATCTAAGTGGGGCATGCTAAAATCATAATGAGAGTATTTATCCTTCTTGTCTGCCAGCTTATAGATTGATAGCTGGGATGTTTCATTATGAATTTGCCATTATATTTCATTCCTTTTTTTTTGCTGCTTTACAGATCATATTTATTTTGTATTATATTCTGCCCCTGCAGAGGCTATATAAATCCTTATTAATCACTAGCAAAGCTGCCCCTTGATAAATTTCCAGAGATATGTGTCCAAAATGGATGTGTGGCAAACAATAATTTTTTTCAGATGTATTTTTTGGAGGTAAACTATGGTAGACTAAAGCACGTATTGAGAAAATAGGTATTTAATGTGTTTAATAATAACCGTAACAAATTGAGTACTTCATTATGTGCCTGGTACTGTGTTACGTTTCATTCCTGCTGTCATTTACTGCTTGCAACAAATCTGAAAGGTATAATTATTCATGTTTTACAAATGCAGTAGCCAGTGTTCAGAGAGATTCAGTCAGTTCCAGAAACAGCATAGCATCGGAATATTAGACCTAGGTCAGAGCCTACTTCTGTAACCTCTTGTGTTCTTGGAAGTGAAACAAATATTAAGCCTATTTCCTCACTCATAAAATTCACTCTCAAAGTGAATTTGTGAAGGTTAACTGTGATAGTGCATGTGAAGTGCAAGCACTGGGTTTTGGCCCTTAGAAAGCACTTATTAAACATTAGCTATCACTAACAAAAGACATAGTGAGGATTCAGACCTAGGTCTTTATCTCCTATGTCCATCCCCTCAAGCTCAAGGTTTTGCTTATTTCTGTTTTCATGCTGAATTAAAATCTTACCTAGCAGCTGAGTTTGGCCATTTATAAAGCGATCATACCAATGATCATTTTTGAAGTGGAGTTGGATGTTTTTTTTTTCTTTATGGCCCCTAGGACTGGTGATGTAGGACTTCTGACACAATGGTAAAAATAAATGTATTTGTTTTTTTTGATGAGCCTGTCTGGAGAATCTCATTAGATATGGGTTAAATTTTAAGGAAACACACATCTGCAAATTTTAGTTTATGAAAGAGAGCACTATGAGCAGAGCTGTGGGAGAATGTTAGATCTTCATTAAATCTGGTTTCTCCTCTTCTTGAGTGCATGCAGTAAGATCATAGTTCCTAGCCTTCTTTACAAAGAGATGTGGCCATGTGACTGATTCTACCAGTGGGATATGAGCGGAATATGTCTCATGTAAACCTTCCCCTGGAAGGTTTCTTTGCTCTTTTTCTTTCCTGGCTGAACTGCTGACAAGCATAAGGCCTTGGAAACCACATGTGGAAGATGGCAGAGCCATAGATGGAAAGCACCTGGTCTCTTTGGATTATGCCTGAAGAATTGCTACGTTTCCCTTAAAAATACACAAGTGGCACTCCAGCCTGGGCAACAGAGCACGACTCTGTCTCAAAACCCCAAGTGGAATCTGCTTGAGCAAAACGTAACTTTCTTTTGTGTTGAGACATTATTTATTTTGGGATTTGTTTGTTACAAACCAATAGAGAAATGTTTCATGAACTTTGGCAGCTACATTAATCACATTGGCATTTAACTGAACAAGTAATTCTTGCCTTTTTCACCCACTTTGAGTTAAGGCACACCACCTGCAGGAAGAATGAACTAGCATCTGGCCCCTGAAGATCACTTTGGATCTTTTCCTCGTTTGCCTACCTGCCTTCCCATGAGGATCTTGACAACACCTTCCCCAACAATCACCATGTATCCGTTAGCTTTTCTCCCCTACACCAGCTCTCTCTGGTACCATATGAATATTTTTCTGTATATATTAGTACATTTCAGACAGAATTTGAAGCACAATTCAGCTCAGCACTTCAAAGTTGACTTCTTCAAACACAGTGGAAAAAGTCAGCTAGGAAGACCATGGGTTAGTTCTGGTCTCATTGCTTAATGACCATACAGCCTTGGGCAAGTCTATATTTCACTTGAACTCAGTTTTCTCATCTGCAAAATGTGATTAATTCCTGTGCTGCTTCTCTCTAATGCTTTGAGGATAGACATACAATTTGAGTGTTTTCAAAGAATTAGAAAGTGCTCTGCAGGGTTTTTAAACTTTATTTATATAAAGTAATAATGCGAATATTGAAGTCTTTATGGTAAAATGGTACTTAGTCCCATTATGAAAGACTTCTTTTTGTTTGTGAAAGGCAGTGTTGTGTATTAAAACAAACCTGTAGACAGCTTTATTTGATCCTTCATCCACTCGTAGTTGTATGAACTAGTAGCTCCTTGACATGGTTTTATTATTTATAAGTTTAGGACAATAATACCCACTTTACAGAGTTGTTATGAAAACCAAATGAGTGCTTATAAATGGAGCACTGAAAAATATAATTAATATATTTTAAAAACCTGCTGGTCAGATCATTCCAGTAGTTGTAACTGTTTGCATGCATATTAGCAAATATTTAACAATGGAGATAAGAGAGTAGACAAACTTAATAATGAAGAATTAGAAGTCACAGTCAATTGGTGGTTAGATAAAGCTTCTTAGAAAGTATAATGCCAACAAGTGGGATTTTTTTTTGTCTGACTTCAAAAATTTCTACTTGATTTTACAAATTCTATGTGAGGTCTAGAACAAATGTTTTGCATAGAGCATTTATTTGTACTGAGGAGTGTGGAGATCTACAGCAGGTATATCTGCTGTTAATAAGTTAGGACTGAAGGCTGAAGAAGCAGAATAACAGCAAAGAAGATCCTGTCATCATTAACCACATCTAGTCGCTCTTTCCCATTCCAGCTATTTTAAGACAATCTCTTCAAAGGCATGGTCTCTTGTGGATTAAGCTTAACTATCACATTTAAACTTTTATCCAGCTTCATATGCAAATAAAGACTATTCTCCTTGCTCCATTTATTGCCTTCCTTCCAACCATTTTAACAAAATGTGTGAGACCATTACTAATAGTAATAATAAGCCTTCACACATTTTAAATTTGAGAAAAGAGCTTTTACAATATTTACATATTTTCTATCAAGTGTAGTAGAAAAAAATTGGGGTGCGTGTATAAAAGAAAAAATTGTGACTTCATTTGACTAAGCTGGTGTATGTGATGAAGGGGGAATATAGAGGAGGATGAGGAGGGGACTATGGAAGTGGAAATGAAAATAAAAATGATAGGCCAGAGAAAGATACAGGAAAATAGGACAAGTGTAATAAGGGTTTCATCAGGTTTCTAAAATTAGCAGGGGATAGAAGTACATCTGTCTGTGTGTATGTTTGTCTGTGAAGGACATTTATATTGTCAGAGGCCTTTGCTTGGTTTGAGGCTGCATGCTGAGAGACTTCCTGTGTGACATTTATGGGAATATGAGGATATTATTCTTTACAAATAAATATTTGAATTATGTAACCCTAACATGTCTGAATAGATTAATGGCTTATGACTAATTCTATGTTATTGAAGTGCAGAAATAGGGAAGAGATATGGGATCCAGAAATAATCTCCAAATTTCATTTTAACCTATAGTTTCAAATGGCAGAATTGCTAATAAGTAGCAGGACTGATAGACTGAGTGTTGCCTAATACTTCTCCCAGAAAAGGAACTAATTCAACAATGAATGGCCAAAACCAGTGAGCAGTGGGGATGATGGAGGGATCAAAATGGCTTAGAACAATATACACTGTATATTGATGCTTAACTGATTTTTCAACACATTCTTTTTTCAATCTTGGACAGTTAGAAGTAGAAGAAAATACCTTCCCACTGTCTCAGAACTAAATATGGCTCCTTATAGCCTATCAGGTATTCTTTGGAGTCCCCAGTCTGATGTCTTTTCTCCCCCCTACTTTCTTTGGCTACTTTCCTAAATAAACACAGTCTCAGTAAAACTGGATACTCCCTGTAAGGAAAATGGATGTGCTGCAGTCAAGAATAGGCCAAGGCAGACATCTGGTTCAGCATGACTCAGCGAGTTTGGAGTGCAGGCACACAGCTCCGCTTATTATGTAACCACATCACTTGAGGAGTATTAGATGATCACTTACATGAGCTCGTGCTTCGCTTGGAGCCACTAGTGTCAGTAAAAGGTGTAATTACCCTGCTAATGCTGTACATATGGCCTGTGCCCAGGCTGTTGTCTGGGTTCACTTGCACCTAGGCTCGCTTGTGCCCAGAGAGAGGGTAAAGTCATGTTGAAACTGTCCATGATTCTTCGAGTGTTTTTCCAGCTATTCGCCACTCACCCACCAACTCCCCCCAGATCTGTTAGAACCTGACACTCCCTATTTCGCTGCTGCATCTTTGCTTCATCAAAAACCTTTTTCCCTGTCCTTATAAGTCTTCCTACTCCTTGAAGACTCAAATAAACTCTTATCTTCTCCATGAAGTCCTCTTATACTCCAACATTTGTCCACTCTTAAATTTTGGAGTTGGCCCATCCCTTTTGGAGTTACAGGTATTCCCTATCTTCATGCCCAGTCCTCCTGGTACCTTCAGGAAGGAAGAATGACAAGAGCCTCAAGCCCATAATTTTCTGAGTCTAAGCTCAGCCCTTCTTTTGTCAATGGGAATCCAGTAGTCTAGGGAGAGCTTCTATATCTCAGCCATTCTTTTTTTTTTTTTTTTGAGACGGCGTGTCGCTCTGTTGCCCAGGCTGGAGTGCAGTGGCATGATCTTGCCTCACTGCAAGCTCCACCTCCTGGGTTCCTGCCATTTTCCTACCTCAGCCTCCCAAGTAGCTGGGACCACAGATGCCTGCCAGCATGCTTGGCTAATTTTTAGTATTTTTAGTAGAGATGGGGTTTCACCATGTTAGCCAGGATGGTCTCGATCTCCTGACCTCGTGATCCACCCACCTCAGCCTCCCAAAGTGCTGGGATTACAGGCGTGAGACACCACGCCCGGCCATCTCAGCCTTTCTTATCTCCCCATCACTTCTTCCCCCACAGTGTCTCTGTTTATATATAGCGCTTTTCTGCCTCAGTTTTGCTGTTTAGAATTTTACTTTCCTGCTGGGTTTGTATTCCAACACTATGTTTGGAGTCTGTAGAACTGATCTAGATCATGCCAGTCCCTTGGTCTTGCCGTGTGAGGTGCTAAATGTTTTTTGGCTACCTCTCTATTCTTCTGTGAAATAAATGATATTCCAGAATTATTTTCCACTTCACTTTAATTGGTACTTAATTCCTGGTCTCCACCTACCACTTACTCCTCCATTTGCTACCCCTATGACCATTGGAAACTTATTGAATCTTTTTAAGCCTTACGTTCCTTGTGTGGAAATTGGCATAGTGTTAATATCTAGTCTATAGGACTGTTGTGAAGATGAACTTAGTTAATCCTTGGAACATTGCCTGCCACATAGTAAATGCTCAAAAATATTAGCTGTTATTATTGTTTTTGTTCTTAACACCATTATTACTGTGCCGTATTGGTTGAACTATAGTCTCTGAACTAAAATCTCTGCTTGAATCATATCTGAACTTGCTATACTATTTGAACACTAACAACTGCCTCTATAGCCAGGTTCATTTTTCCAGCCCCCACTCTAATCTGTCTGAGACTTTTCCTCTGCCCTACCTTGGATCTGCCTCTTACTTGTATGTGCTTGAGTCCTGATAATACAGGCCTTAGATATTTCTGTTTTTAAGGCACTTAGTACACATTGGGTTAAAATTTATTTGTTTTTTTCTCGTCTGCTAACTCATATGCTTTTTACAGTCAGAAACTTTTTCATTTATACTCTTGTGTTTCCCAATATTTCTTAAAAATGGAAGGCTCTTAATACATATATTTTGAATAAGCAAAAGATAGTCCATATAGAATATAATTCACATCTTTAAAATTTAACATCTCAGTGCTTCGTTAAAGTAGCTATTAGAAATAAAATTTTTATTTCTACTTCTAGGTTTATTCAGTGTTTATAAATTACCAATCCTCAATACCTTAGAAAAATACAGTTAAATTAAGCTCAACAAATACATATTATTTCCTATAAGCTAGCCATTGTATTAGGCGTTGGTGATAAAAAATAAAAAGCAGACTCAGTCACTAGCCTTGGTCATTTAAGATAAAAAAAAATTAAGATGTGGGTTCAGATTCTTAGATGTGTTCATTGAATCAGTCATTCAGTCATTTAATAGTTACTTGAATACCATTATGTTCCTCATGGGGCAGCTGAATAATTATTCCTGGAACATGACACAGGTAACCATCAAGATGTTCACATTCTAGCATACATGATGCTGTTACCCTTTACACTCTCAAACCTATTTTCAAAAATCCTAGGAGATAGGTATAGCCAATCCAATCTGACAATATTTTTAAATAAGAAAATTAAGAATGAAAGGGATAATTTGTCCAAGATCACATGAGAAGGCAAATCTGTATAACACCAAATAATCCGGCAGTATATTAGGTTAAACCATGTAAAATTAGCTTTTTTATTCATCAAAACTGGTTGAATATTGTTATTTTCATAGAGTTTAATAAAAGCAAGATCTATGTAGTTTTGCAGGGACATGGAAAGAATCATGGAGGCAGAATTTAATGCCATTTCATGTGAAGGAACAAGATAATTTGGTAATGGATTTTGTGTAATGACTAAGGAGAGAGAAAAATCAAAGATGATTCCTAGGATTTAAACCCAGGTGACTAAAAGAAAGAACTACTAAAAGTGGAAAGTTAGGAGGAGGAGCTTGTTTGAGAAAGGAAAAGGTAATATGATGAATTCAGTAGTAGAATTCGAGCAGCCAATATTCAATCAAAAGAATCCAAAAGATAGATGGAAATACAGGTCATAGCTCTACAGAGGTTAGGAAGGGAGTCAAGCTTGTCGTAATGATTGAAATCATAGCACTAATTGAGCTCATTGAGAAAGGTGGCATTTTACAGATGGCAGCCAAGGATGGAAACTTAAGAATGCCTAGATTTGAGGGGGACATACAGAAAACACAGCCGGGCTAGGAGACAGAGCAGGGACATTCAAAAAAGGGTAGTCATAGAAGGAGGTTTGTCAAGACATAGTGATAGCTGACCCTATTAAATTGTCTTAGCAGATTCCGTGAAAATGAGGGCAGAGAAAAGGCCATTTTGTGAGTACTTGGCAAGTAGAAGATTAGAAGTGACCCTCAAAGTTTCCTTTTCCCTGCGTATTAGTTGCAGTGGAAAACATAATGCTAAGGTTTAGAAAATAAATGGCGAAAGAGTTAAAGCAAGGAATGTAGGTTAGCATGCAAAACGGCCTATTTTTAAGATCTAGGAGACTAAAACTGTTGGAAGAAAGTTGGTCTGACCAATAATTGTTACGTAATTATTTTGGAAGTTAATTTGGGAATATGTTTCTGAAAAGCTACTTTTCCTTATGAACTTGCACAAAATAAATGAAGTAACAGGTGCAATGCTGGAAAAATGAGCTCCTAAGAAGTCAACTGCTGGGCCATCCCTTTCTAGTGAAGCCCTTTACACTTCTTAATAGCTTTCCTCTATGGCTATGAGTTATGTTATGCCTTTTGTTTTTGAGACAGAGTTTCGCTCTTGACGCCCAGGCTGGAGTGCAATGGCACGATCTTGGCTCACTGCAACCTCCGCCTCCCGGTTACAAGTGATTCTCCTGTCTCAGCCTTCTGAGTAGCTGAGATTACAGGCATGTGCCACCATGTTCAGCTAATTTTTGTATTTTCAGTAGAGGCGGGTTTCACCATGTTGGCCAGGCTGGTCTTGAACTCCTGACCTCAAGTGATCTGCCTGCCTCGGCCTCCTAATGTGCTGGGATTACAGGCATGAGCCACTGTGCCTGGCTGAGTTATGGTATTTTATTTTTTTTGAGGCAGAGTTTTGCTCTTTTTGCCCAGGCTGGAGTGCAATGGTGTGATCTTGGCTCACGGCTCACTGCAACCTCCGCCTCCCAGGTTCAAGCTATTCTCCTGCCTCAGCCTCCCAAGTAGCTGGGATTACAGGCACCTGCCACCACGCCCGGCTAATTTTTTGTAATTTTAGTAGAGACAGGGTTTCACCATGTTGGCCAGGATGGTCTCGACCTCTTGACTTCATGATCCACCCACCTCAGCCTCCCAAAGTGCTGGAATTACAGGCATGAGCCACTGCGCCCGGCCGAGTTATGCCATTTTTAATAGTAATGTAGTTATGCTGGGTTATTGAAAGAATGTAATTAATCCTTTATGATCAAAGCAATGTGAGAAATATGGGACTTTTTTTCTGTGTGATTTGTAAATTATTTGTTACTCTATAAGAACATACAAATAATTCACTCAGATCCTGTTAGAAAAGTTTGTGTATGTACATACATAATTTCATATGCGTATATATTAATTTTCTTTAAATTACAACCAATACATAAGCCATAAGTGAATTCCTTTATTGCTAATGAAAAATGGTAAAGTTAACAATTTAGAAATATTAGCTTTCCTCCATGTTAGTAAAGAATGTGTTTGGAATTAGAAGCATAAACTAACATTTTGTTCAAAAATATTTTTCTGCTATTAATAGGACAGTGTCACTTCTGTGCTGAATAACATGTAACACAATAATACTCTCTTTAAAAAAATGGAACACGTTATACACCAGACACTATTCTAAGAATGTTAGATTAGATATATTAACTCGCTTTATCCTTCCAACATCCTCAAGCAGTAAACACTATCATCATCACTTTACAGATGACAAAGATAAGAAGAGATTACTTTGCTATAGTCAGGAGAGACTTGAACAGACAGTCCAGCTTGGGAATCCTTCTCTTAACCATTGCACCATACTACATCTAAGGGTCATCAGCATTCTTCAACTAAAAAAAAAATCTGCTTGAAATTATCTCACAAAAGGAAGCTAATCAGAAGTAATTTGGGGTGATTGCATCTGGACTCATTCTACAAAGGTGGAACGAAAGCAGACAAAAGAGTGCCCCCTTCTTTGGGGATAAATTCACCAAGTCAAGTGTCAACTCCTTATCTTGGAAGGTGCTTTTTTTATACTAGGAAAAGTTGGTGTATCAACAAAAACTCCCCTGGAAATAAAGGAATTAAGTTTCTCTGGACCCTGTGTATCACCACAAGCCCTGTAACAATCATTGTGTATCTTTACCACTGATTTCACTGTGAGAGGCTTTGACTTCATTGCAGTTACTTTACCAGTTTCACTACCTGCTCACTAGCTAAATGATAAAATCCCAACCAACATATCAGATATGGACATAGATGCCCTGCTCTGTGTGTGGCAAATGAAGGACAGTAAACATATGGGGAAAGTCACACCTGAGTACTCCAAAGTGGTAGGACAAACAGAAGCCTGTCAAGAGGAGGGAAGATGATGAGGTGAAGGGCAGTTACTCAGCTGTACAGCACCATGCCAGGACTTTGGAAGATTTCAAATGTGATACCTGATTTGCCTGGTTTAATTCATTGATTTACTTAACAGCCCCATTGCCTGGAGAAGGAAGGGATGAGGCTGAGTTGACTATAGTTTCCTAAGTTCTTAAGACAGTCAAGCTTTTTAAAACTTTCTAGTAGACTAAGAAAGTGATGGTCCAAAACTATGAATAGTTCAAATATATCTGACTTTCCTTAATGTTTTTCTCTGTATTCCATGGGATAGGCCCCTCTGCTACATATACTGTCTTTGATAGTCTGTGGTTTACAGGATGGAGAATGCTCCTGCCAGTTACATTGTTGTCTTAATTCTAAGTTCCTAGAGGGCAGAGTCTAGGCTCCTGTGCATGCTATTTTACAGCATCTGTTGTAGGAGACTAAGCAATGGGGGAGACAGGCATGGAGCTGGGCCTTGTATTAATGTGGTAATAATAAAAAGTAGAGAGTACATGGAGGGATATTCACAGGAAAAAAATGGTCTTTTTTGAGCCAATATAAATTGTCTACAGAATATATTATTTAGAGACAATACACTTTATTTTAAATATTCCACCTCTTGATGTTTAGCTCATGGGTTGGCAAACTTTCTGTAATGGGTCAGATAATAAATATTCTAAGTTTTGCAGGCCATATGGTTTCTGTATCAACTACTCAACTCTGACCTAGTAGTATGAAAGCTGTCATTGAAAACACACAAAGGAGTGTAGCTGTGTTCCATTACAAGTTTGTGTAAAAGCAGGTGGCGGGCCAGATTTGGTACAAAAGCCAATGTTTGTGGACTCCTGGTTTAGATCATACACATTTACACTCATACATATGGGGACTGAAAAACAGTAAGTTCTCACTGAATCTTCTTTGCTAAAATATTTCTCACTTGATCTAACTTCTGATTTGACTTCAGATTCTCATTCATATATTAAACATCTGCTTGGTCAGTGCTATAATCTGTCAAGCATTGTACTAAACATACAAGGATAAAGATAAAAAAAGGTTTCTGCCCTCAAGAAATTTACTGTCTAGTGAATAAGATGAGTAAATATGGTAAATACAAATGTTCTGTACTATGTGCCAGAAGAGCTTTATGCTCAGCTATAATAGGCTGACAGAAACAGAGACTTAGTCACTAATTCCCTTTTCTGAGAAAGAGATAACTGAAGGGAGTCTTCAAGAACTTTTGGGATTTGGGAGTTAACCAGAGGAGAAAAGTAGATGGAATATATATGAATGGGGCTGGGGTAGGGGAACTGGGAGAGGAGCTATAGCTAGGGAGTAGACCACAATGAACTTTGCATGTCTTTCTAAAGAGCTTTCTTTTCTCCTGAGGGATAGGGTCATATTTGGTTAAAATGACATTTCTTCCATTAAGATCTTCCACAAATTTCCTATGACTCTGTTGTCTCTTTTTGCACTATATCATCTTCTGTCTTGTGTTATAGTTATCTTGTATTTATCTTCCTCCTGCCCATTTTATTTAATTTCCCTAGGAAAGAGAACTGTGTCTTATTCTAACTTGAATTGTCTCCTAATCTGTAGTTTCTATCCCTGACTGGGTCTTGGGACCTTGCTTATTACTTGTATTTGATTCCCACTTGGGTCTTTTCTCCCCCTGCCTCTATCCTGGCTGCAATGTCAAAGTTGTCCATTTCAAACTTGTTCCTTATTGCCAGTACTGAGACCTCTCCTGACAGATAGTTATCACTCTTGAATGACGGAGATTGACCAGTTCTGTTAAGAATAGTGTTACAAGAGGAAGTGACTGTATTAATTGGCAATAGATTCTCAGATTAGCTGAACAGTGAATGCGAAGTTAATGGGACTTTAAAGAAGTTCTTAGTGCTTTCATTTTTAACTATGTGCTTGAAAAGTAACTTATTTGAGATGAGGAAAATGAGTGAAAAGTGGTACTTCTGTGGTTGTTCTATATGGCTCTGAGTAATGGAAATAGGCTGTTTAAAGGTCCAACTGGGGGAAATATGGGGGAAATGGTTAGTGATGGTGAACCAGATTCAGAAAAGAATTTGGAGAGGAAAGAAAGTTGTATGAGAACACAAAGAATTGAACTGAATTCATGAAACAGTATTGAGTACTAACTCTGAACTATATATTGCAATATAATTTCAATCTAGAAATGAGGATAATCAGAGTTAGGTCTCTTGCCATCAGGGAGCTTGCCATCATTTCCCCTTATCCAGAGAAATTAGATGTATTCAGCCTCAGGAAAAAGAGCTGTTGTTTGCTTTAAAAAATCTCTGTAATGACCACAAGGTCCCATGACTGAAGGAGATGGCCTCTGCCCACACTTTGGGGTGAGGGCCAACACCTCTGTGAATATACTTAGTCATGATTGTAAACTAAGAACTGCTAGAGGTGTTCTTGGACTAAGAGCTAGACAGAAATGCAATTAGTAAAAAGAGTGACCTCTGGAGGACCAAAGACCCAAGATAGTTTTTGCCAGGCAAAGATACTGAACAATGTCACTCTAGCACAACTATCTGATAGATGCTATGGTCTAAATGTTTGTGACCCCAAAACTCACAGGTTGAAGCCTAATCCCCAGTGTGATGATATTTGGAGGTGGGGCCTTTGGGAGGTAATTAGGCCATGAGGGCAGTGTCTTATAAATGGGATTAGTGTCCTTCTAAGAAGAGAAAGAAACCAGATCCCTCCTTCTCCCCTTCCTCTTCTTCCTCCTTCCCCCTTCTTCTGCCATGTGAGGACATAACCAGGCGGATGGCCCTTATAAGAACTTTAATTGGCTGGTACCTTATTCTTGGACTCCCCAGTCTTCAGAAGCATGAGAAATAAATTTCTGTTGTATAAGCCAACCAGTCTATAGTAATACAGCAGCCCAAGCCAACTAAGAGAAAGTTTTCCATCCAAAAGGAGGAGAAAATTGTTTGCCTACTGTGGCTGACTTTATTTTCCAAAGAGAGCTGTCCTACATGCTCTTCTACAATGAGACTTTGCTGCTGTATTGTTGATAGTGGGAGTCTGATTCTCCTATTCCTGACTATAGGAGGGCTTGCTGTAACAAATAGAATGTGGTGAGGGTGATGCTATGTGGCCTTTGAGGCTAGGTTATGAAAGATGCAGCCTCCGCCTGTCATTGTCATACTCCTGCTTGAAGCCTTGAGGTATCACATCAAAAGTCTGACTACCCTGAGGCTATCATGCCCTTTCCAAATTCCTGGCTCTCAGAATCCATGGCATACTGTGAGATTGGTTGTTCAACACCATTCAGATTGAGGTGATCTTTATGCAGCAATAGTAACTGGAACACCTACTATGTGTCAGACACTGTGCTTAGGCTTTTATGTACATTATTTTGCTGAATCCTCAAATCAATCCTTAAAGATTAGTATTGTTTCTTCAGTTTTCTAGATAAGAAAATCAAAGAAGAGAGAACTTAAGAAATGTACCTAAAGTTATAGCCATGAAATTAAAGAATGAGGATTCAAATCAAGGTCTTGGCAACTCCAATGCATACATCCCCTGGTAATAGTAAGAAGTGTTTCCAGGCTAATGATAAGAATTATCTGGTAATGCTAATGTCCAGGATCCACCTTAATTCCACAAAATCACCCTAAATAAACCTCAGGAGATTTTTTTTGTTTGTTTGATGTGGGAAGTTTAGTAATACTATTAAACTCCACCACACAAACTGAAGTATATTCTGTAAATAATATTGTAGTCTTTTAATGAGGCAACGTTAGAAGACCACACCCAAAGTATTTGGCAAAGAGTAAGTGATCATCAAGTGAGTGCTAAACTGAATAGGCTTTTGCAAATAATCTAACCCTCCCCACTCAAGAGTGTGATTTATGAATCAGCAGAGACATCAGTTAGGATTTGCTAGAAACACAGACTCTCAGGCTCCATCCCAGGCCTATTGAATCAGAATCTATAGTTTAAACAATATTGCCAGGTGTTTCAGATGTTCATTAGAATGTTAGGAACACTGATTCAGCTGATTTTGGTACTCATTTAGGATAACTTTCCAACCATGGGACAGTTGGTCTACTTGCTACTGAGTTCTCCAGCGTATTACTGTAAAAATAAATAATGTAAAGGGCTCCTAGGAAAACAACTCTGCAATATGGAAATTGAGTCTTCAATTCAGGCCTTTTGGAAGCTGTAAAGTTAGACAATATGAGCTGAAGCCTTGTGGTTACACTCTGCACTAATGAAAGTTCAATTCTACTGTTAGTGCCTTGCCTGGAAAGTTATTTCCTAGCCCTTTCCCAGGCACTCCTATTGAACAATCCTCAGGAAGAAAGCAGTTTTATAGATGTCGTGTTTGTAAAGGGAATCAGCAACCATCCTACTATTTTATTTTCAAGAATGATAAGAGCATTCTATTTAACCTATTTATCTACACATCATCTTAGATACAGTTGATTTATACACAATAGTGTCTGTCTGCTCATGTTATTGGAAAGCGTTAATTGAAATGTTAGTGATCCCACTTTTATCTTCTAAGTAATAGCTGCAAAGGCTATGAAATGGTGACAAAAACACCTCTTCCAGGAAGTCTAGAAGAAAACTACATTTCTCCTCAGATTTACCTCATTTATAGTTAATGAGCCTGCAGTGCTTATCTATAATTGTAAACACATGTTATTTGAAATGCATTCGTTACTACCATGGTCTTTAACACCAATCTTGCATTGTGCTTCAGCCAGGAGGGTTCAACAAACTACTACAGCTTGGTACAATCTATGCCTCCTATGATTCATATTAGTATGAGGGTGGAGCTGGGGAACAAGGTGAAGACTGCAACTAGGGGCAGAGAAAACTTTAAAGTCCTCAGAGTTCTCTTTGCTTAATTAAATGACATTTTGTAATCAGTTTTGTTAAGTGTCCCAGGCAACACCATCATGTTCCCTCAAAGAACTGCCCTGTGGCCTCAGCCACTGAATAGTCTCACAACTTACATCATCACAATGAGCTGCAAATATATTTTAGTTTAGTTTAGTTCTTGTTTTTTAACTCGTTTGGTAAAAAATCATTTAGTGGATGACAATTCATCTTTGCTAATCAGATCATATGTTTATCAACATTTTCTTACCATCAATTTAATTCTTTTTAAGTTTAGCTCAGAGAAAGAAATGAGTATCAGGCCCATTTAAAAAATTTTCTGGCAGTTAAAATGGGGCTCAGCCAGTCACCATTATGTATAATATTTCTCTATGTACTAGAAGAATATCACTTGCCAGCATTCTCTAGAGTAGGTAATTCCAATTTCTGTTACCTTTTCTCACAGGTGTCATTTTCCTTCCTTTTAATCATCATTATATCTATCACCTGAGCTATATTCTATATTTTTTTTATGGATGTAGAACTCAAGAGGAGATGTTATTTTTCATAGGGTTCTGCCCATATGGAGAATAAGGGAATGAAATACCTTCTAGAGATTCATTCAGGAAATACAGTTTCTATATTATCTATTAATTCTAATTGTCATTTAAAAAAACAAATTTTACCAGGCACAAAATCAAATTCCATAGTATGAGTAATATTAATATTTATATCATTTGGGGCTATTAGGGCTGCACTAAGAATTGTCAACTCCAGATATATTTGAAATGAGTGAAAAGGTGGAATAAATATGTTATATTAAGATCATAAATTCCAGCCCTCTAATTAGTGAGCTCTGTGACCTTAGAACTAGCATGTTAAGACTACCAAAGGCTGCATGATGAATAAAGGACCGAATAGATGGAATTCTTACAACGTAAAGAGGAGTTGTTCTCAAATTTGCTAGATAAGTCATTTTTCTTTTTTTGCTTATATGTGGATTTTTTTTATCATATTTTAAGTTCTAGGATACATCTGCAGAACGTGCAGGTTACATAGGTGTACAGGTGCAATGGTGGTTTGCTGCACCCATCAACCCGTCATCTACATTAGGTATTTCTCCTAATGCTATCCCTCTCCTAGCCCCCCACCCCCCGACAGTCCCCAGTGTGTGATGCCCCCCTGCCTTCCATGTCCATGTGTTTTCATTGTTCAACTCCCACTTAGGAGTGAGAACGTGTGGTGTTTGGTTTTCTGTTTTTGTGTTAGTTTGCTGAGAATGATGGTTTCCAGCTTCATCCACATCCCTGCAAAGGATATTAACTCATCCTTTTTTATGGCTGCATAGTATTCCATGGTGTATATGTACCACATTTTCTTTATCCAGTCTATCATTGACAGGCATTTTTGTTGGTTCCAAGTCTCTGCTATTATGAACAGTGCTGCAATAAACATATGTGTGCATGTGTCTTTATAGTGGAATGATTTATAATCCTTTGGGTATATACCCAGTAATGGGATTGCTGGGTCAAATGGTATTTCAATTTTTAAAAAAAGTTTTCTGAGAATAACCCAAGATATAATGAATCAAAGTTGCTGGTGGTGGGAAGGGGAAGGGTCTGGGAATCTGTACTTTTCAGAAGCCTCTCTGGGGTCTATTATGACTGAGTAATATTGAGAATTGTGCCCAATCTCAAGAGTTTCTTTCAATTTTCAGTTTCTATGTTCTAAAATACCTTTTCTCCCAGGGACCCAGTTTTCCTCAAGAAAGAGCCTTGACCTTCTCAACTTTAAGGTTCTGCCAATTCTAGTTTCCAGGAGTCAATGTTTCTCCTGGTATCTTCCATGCTTCCTAGTGATATTCCTTCTTCAAGGTGCCAATGACATCACACTGCCTTGTCACAGTTTGTGGCATTTGCCACCTGAATCTGTTCTGCCTACAAAGTGCCTCCCAATGCTGTCTCAGCCTTTCACTTTTGCCTCAAAATGCATTGGTTCTTGGTATCATCCCCTTGACAAGGTAACAAATACATTTTAATAGAGATCTTATGGAGATAACACTAAAACAAAGGTCTAGTGGTGAACATTTAACCCCTTTGGCTCGATGATAGAGAGGTTTTGTGATTCCTCTCAGATCTTATTATAAAGCACAGTGTTGGACTCCAACCCAAGTACTTACATATTTTTTCATGTTTAACTTTAGTATTAATCCAGTGGCCTAAGATCTGAATTTCCAAATTGGAATTCCAGAACAATAATACAATTGTCTATTATGAAATAGGTTATTCTTTCCATGGAAGAATATATGCTATAGAAATACTTAGGCATTATTTGATGAGATTTCTTTTTTATTTGTGTCAGGGAAGGGTAAAAATTTCCAGGTTTTTAGGGGTCAAATGAATGACTTTCTTGCTTTTTCTCTTACTTGGTATTTCATCCTAGAAGCCATGAGGAAGAAATTAAAAACTCATCAACAAACCAGCGTGAGGGCTGGGATGCTAAAAGCTTTCATCTGTTAAATACTATGCTCCTGTACAACCCCTTTTGAACTCTTCTGCTCAGTAGATTAATTTGTTACCAACTTGGTACTGAGCAATGGGGATTCTTGAGAGGACAGCTGTCTCTATCACCAGTGAGAAAGAATGGGATCACATAAACAAGGTGTGTGTTAGCGGCCCAGGCAGGTGATATGGTAGTATTAGCTTCCCTTTGGGGCCTGAGGCAAGCAAAGGCTTGATCAAGCTACCTAAATCAGCCTCCTGTCTGCTCCTGTTACCTTGCTTATTTCTCTCATAGTACACAGAGAACTCTCATCCTCTGTTTCTTGTTTGTTTACTGTTGTCTGAGTATCTCTACCTCAATGTAAACTCTCAGAGGCAGAGTTTGCTCACTTTTCTATCTCTAGTGTTTAAAACAGTGCTTGCTCCATAGTTAGGTGCTTCATCAATATTTGTTGAACAAATGAATGAGTGAACACTTTCATACAAATTCTAAGTGGACGTATTTAAGGCATTGAATATTTGTGATCTACACAGTGATACACTGCGCTAGTTCATATTTGATTTACCTTGATGCTTTGCTCTGTGGGGCTCTCTGGCAGAATGAAAATTGAGAAGGGGATAAGTAGTAAGGGTATAGGGTAGATGAATTCAGAAGGAGGCTCTGGACTCTGTCATATCTCATGGCACGGCCAAGATATCTAGGCTATTGCCTCTCTAACTTTCTCCAGTTTCCTGGTATTCTATATCAGTGTATGTAAATGTGTTTTACACTTTCAGTTTCAAATTCACTCTTATCCACTCCCATGACTTTACTTATCACTATTCCAACTTTCATTCATCTTCTGATGTCTAAAGCTATTTTAATCAACTGCTCAATGGTACCCTCATTTTAGTGCCTTGCTGGTACCTGAAGTACAACATGCCCCACATGATACACTTGATGTTACCTCCTTTCCATCTGTAGTTTTCTTCCAGTAGCCTCTATCTCAGTGTCCTGCCAGATTCTCATTGAAGAAACCCTGGAATTATCGTAAAAGCCTCATTTTTCTTTATCCCTCACATTCAATTACCAAGGTCTGATCTGTTTTCTGACTTATTTGACTTTATCATCATCTTCTTATCCTTGTTTCTACCATTTTAGTCCAGACCACCATCATCTCTCCTTTGGACTACTGTGATAACTGATCTCTTTCCATGGTTGTTCTATCCCAATCTATTATCTGTAGGATGTTCCTGTGGCCTATGAGGTCTTTCCAGATCTGGTGCTTGCTGACTTTTCTGATAGTTTATACTACTTTTATCCTTGTAATCTACTCCACAGCCACCATATTCTTTATTGAGTTTTGTGAGCAAGCCATCCTTCCTCACACATCAGGACCTCAGTCATGCTAGTGTCATTGGCTTTATGACCAGCTAAGTCCTACTCATCCTCCTTAAGGCAGCTTGTAAGGTTTCATGGAATAGTCCTCTATGATTTCCCAGTCTAACTAGATTGTCCTGTTAGATGCTCTTTTATCATACTTCTCTTTTGCTTCACTCATCATTCTTATAATTAGTTGCTCAGTATTTGTCTTTGTCACTCCTTGACACATAGTCAGTGCTATGTCATACTGAAAGAATAGCATCCCCTTCTTCCTTCCTTCCACAATTGATTTATGATTTATTCTCAAGTTATAAAATGTTACATTCTTAGAGAACTCTAGACCCAATAAGTCCACCTTAATCCATTGTGTTCTATTACATTTTGTATAAATGCCTATCAAAGCATTTATTACATTGCACAATAATTTCTTGTTCACAGGTCTGCTTTCCTGGACTGTCAGCTCTTTAGGAGTAGGTCCACATGTGACTTATCTTTATATGCCTGGTACACTGTCAGAAATATTAGAGATGATCAAAATTTTGCTAAATAGATGTATGAAGAAACTTCCCAGAGAATGGAGAGTAGAAAAACTTTGTTTATAGCCTACTGGTTTCTTAATTTTCAAGAGACTGAAAATATTTAGGGACTTTGATTTTATACTAAATAACTAAAGTATTCATACTCTCTTTCTGGAATTCAGTTTTTTCTGTATATTTGTATTACCCTAAATAAGAAAAGCAAGTATTTTTTCACTACATCTTTTTTTTCCCCCAGAACTGCTTGGATCAGAACCTTCTTTATATAGATGAGTAGTTTATTGAAATGTTTTCCTTGGTCAGTCCAAAGTAGAACAGCCTTGTTTATTAAAGGTATTGTTCCAAGGTCCAGGATATTAAAGTCGTTTTCTTTCCAAATGAATTCAGAAATGTTTTCAATTCTACCTTGCCAGACAGTCAGTGTCATTCAGAGCTCAAAAGCAGTGGCGATTCAGTTTTAATCTCATTTATAAAATATAGGTGGGCCTCACTGTTTCTGCCAAGCAAATGATTCTTACAAGAGAAGTTTAGAATTGTAAGTTTTTTTCAGTAATGTTTATTTCAACTTTCTGTATTTAATGTACAATGCCAAGGTTTTGAGGGGTTGAATTGCTTTTGGCCACAAATTAAGTAATAAATGTTAATGCTACTGTCACCCGGGTGTTCTGATTTCTAGTTTGACACTCTTTTCTCTACACCATCTCTCCCACTATGCAGACTTGCCTTACAGAGGCAGGTGGTGACTGTGAGAGAATGTTGAAACAACTGTGCTCAGCATCAGTGTCATTGGAAATAACACCCCTATCCTCCCCTAGCAAACCAGCAATTAGCTTCAAGTGTTTGGAAACAAAATGACTATTTCTAGCAGAAATGATGTCTGAGATTAACCAAGAAAAGGCAGAGTATCCTTTCAAATCCTGCCTTTCCTCTCTCTGTCTCAAACACACACATACACACACAACATGTATCATTCTTATTCAATGGGTCAGATTATAATAAATCTGAAAGCAAACAGTATAATGTTTTCCAGTGTTTATTTAATTGACTAGGTCTTTACATTCAAATCTTAGGTGGTGGCTAGTTTAGATAAATTGTGATGTGGAATTCATGCATGGATGAGAGTGCTTGCTTTATGATACCAAGATAAATGCCAGACTGAAATAATATCTTAAGGTCAGCCAAGCTGAAGTATGTAAATGGTAACAGATCTACATTTCCATTTTTATAAAACCCTGCTAATAAGGCACATTTAAAGGCTAAAATATCACATTCAGCAATGAAGACATTAATTTTGCTTATAAAACACTATTCACACTTGTAGGATTTCTGAGTTTTAGGAACCCATGAGAATTAAGAGGCCTCTAGTAAATGAACACACATCAATAAAATACCCTTAGTGAGGCATTTTTTTTTTAAAGCTGATACTGTATTTTCTACTTAAAGTCACTGACAGTGGAGATGGTATGCACAATGTTTCACAATGACTTTTTCATGTTTTCTTCCTGTTCTGAATATTCCCTACGTGCTTTTGAAATCAATAGTGCTGCAGAGATTTACCTGTTCTTTAATATTTCAAAAGCCCTTTCCTCGATGCCCATCTTTTCACTTAGAGTTTAGTAAACCTTGACAAACCCTTATGTTTCACGTCTTCAAGTAACACGGAGGATTTCCCACTTCTGTGGTTTGCCTTTAGAGCAAGGCATTTGGCTTGCTCTAAAATGGCTAACCACATGCTACCATCTGCATCATTTCTAGGGAATTTGATACTTTTTTATTGTTTATTATTTTAAAGGCACAATATAAGCTTCAGAATACCTTTGTAATAGTCTCGTAAATTTTTATCAGTGACAAAGTTAGATTCTTATTTGTAAAGAGAGATGGATGAAGGAAAGTGAACAGAATAAAACAGGATCAAATGATAGCCACTTGCTGATTATCATTCTGCTCTGTCTGTATCTATCATATTGTAGGCAGTAAATGCCATTATGAATTTAAATAAAAGTCATTGCTCACACATACTTGAATGGAAGTAAGAGGGAGCAATTTGGTATATCTCACTGTGAGGACATGACATTTAAAAGCAATCAAGTTCATTTCTTGGCAATGACATCTCTTTTTGGTCAAAACTAAAATGAGTGCTATTTGTTCTATGGAGGGTAACAAAACTACATGGGGAGTTAGCACAGTCCAGTGATAAGAGAACCAGACTTAAAAACTGAGTGATGCATTTTATAATGGGACAAATAGCTAACATTTTATATTTGAACATTCTTTGGCTCACTCAATCTTCATTATTATCTCCTGACACACATATTACTATTGAGGGAACTGAGGCAGGAAGTATCAAATAATTAGCTCAAGTACACATGGTTAATAAGTAGAGGAGTCAGAGTTTGAACCCAGGTAGTCCAACTCCAGAGTACTATGTTCTGGTGTCTACTTGCACTGGAAAAATCAATCTTTAATCTATAAATCTGAAATAGTCATTGATCCCTTTAACAGTGCTGAGGATATGAAGATGAAATAAAATGTTTACTTTTCCTGCCTGGGATAGTTCAAACTATCCCAACAAGGGAAATAGTTTTTCTTATAATCTTATGTAAATTATAAGCCTCAAATTGGGCTTATAATTCTGTAATTTATAAAGAATAAGCAGAAACTATTTTTTTTTTTTTTGCATATAACTGGAATAGTGGCCAATTGGGTTATTGCACTTGGTGTTTCCCTTCCATGATCTTGTTTGACTCATGTGTGCAGATACCTGCATATGTGCTCACTCCCTCCTGGCATCAGGTTCCTTTCATTACCTTGTGGATACCTTGTGGATAAGGATATTAGGATATCTTGACCTCTAGAGTCAGGAAAACCTGGGCGTGAATTCCAAGTTTTTCATTTACCAGGTGCCTGATTTGGACAAACTTCT
The DNA here is from genome assembly GCF_000001405.40 of Homo sapiens. Lineage (NCBI taxonomy): Eukaryota > Metazoa > Chordata > Mammalia > Primates > Hominidae > Homo > Homo sapiens. Next base: position 86,716,436 of record NC_000007.14, on the reverse strand, counting down.
TACCATTTCTCATCCTTAGTTTTCTGACGATAAATCCAAACCAAGGATTGATTTGAGGATTAAGTGGAATAATACGTATACTAAGTAACATAAGAACTCAGTAAATGTTTGTTTCTCTTCTCTCCTTTTTATCTCTGCTTTGTCTTTCTCCTCTCTCCGTTCTTTTTGTCATACTCTGTCATAGAATTATTTTTTTTCTTTACATCATCTTATCATTAAAGAAGGTCAAGTGTGATGACCATAAACCCTGAGCCCCACCTTGACTTTCTTAGGAGTTTTCTAGATGACATTGGGAATACATTTGAGGATCTTTATCTCTACTTATCCACCATCCACCTGTCAAATGACATCTGTGTACTTCATTTACATGCAAAGAAGGTATGTTAATTGTTGATCCAGAGCTTTGAGGATGAAAAGTACCACGTAGGTGGTTGCTACTATCATTTATTAATCTGTGCTTCAGGTGAGTTCTTTCCTAAAGATGAAATCACCATTGCTTTTACATATTTTGTCTCTTTCTCATAATTTCCCTAGCTTTCCCTTTGTCATACTCTACCCCACCCTTACTTTCCAGGCCTTTTATGTTTAAATGCCATTGCAAGATGACAGATAGAAATTTTCTCTTTGTATTCTAAACTTGTGCATATTGACCTTTTAGAGTAAGCCAGCATTTTGGAATTAGGTTCAAGAGTTATTAGAATTGCTTTTATGAATCATGGCTGAAGGTAGCTTTGGTCCAGAAGGTTACCCATGTGTTTGTATCTTTAGAGTCCACTATCTAGAGCACAAATAATTCATTAATTCATTATATGAATAATTATTAAACATCTATTTGTGTTAGGTGCTGTGTCAGGTTCTGAGGATATATGACCTTAAGATGGGTCTGGAAGGAGCTGCCAGCCTGGCAAGGGAGATAGACTTGTAATGATAGTAAAAGGCATTTACTGGGCATCTACTTATAATGCAAGACACCTTCCTTAAAATGCCTCATTTAGTTCTCACAATAAATATCAAATAAGGAAACAGAGGCTCAGGGAGGTTAAGAAATGTGCCTATCTTTTGAGTCAGTAAGTGGTAGAATAGGATGTAAACCCAAATATGTCTTATGTTAAAGTCCATCTTTGCACTATTCTCTGCTACTTCATGAGTTAATAGAATATTTTGATATGTGCATGAGTGCAACCAAGGTAACCAGGAAATGGTAATTGGTGTTTGAGATTTTAACAACAGTCATTTTGCATTTATATTTGACCTTTATTGTGACCCACTCCATTTCCTAATGTGGGTGACTGACAAACACAGAATGACACCTGCCAGAAGGTGGAGATATGCTTGAGACCTTCTGTTCTAATTAGCCATTTCTGACCAATGAAATCATAACGGTCCTGACAGAGGGACACTTATTAAAAGCAATGCTTTTAAATCAAGAAAAAATATACAGGAATGAGTAGAGAGGTGAAATTTTTATTCAAGAGTTGTTTTGTGACAATCACATGGTAAATGGTAATCAGATGTTTAGAACCATTTTAAAGTTGGATATTGGCTTAAATCGAGCTCTTTTTATAATTTTCACCTCTTTAAAGAGAGAATAGTGCCCTTTATTATCATAACCCTTGCCTGGCACAAGGTTGTCACTCATAAATGAATGAATGCCTGTAGCAGCAAAAATATTTTCCTGAATCATAGTTATATATAATGTCCATGCTTATCCTATACTGTTTGGGAGTTTGGGAGCACTTTGGGATTAGCTATGTAGATAATAAATTGAATCTTTATAACTTTTTAAATGGATGCAAAGATTTCAAACTTATATCAACATAGTTGATTTAGCAGGTCAATTACTTAACAGCATAGTGTAGTATTTAAAAAGATGTATTATATTCTGGACTTAGGTTTTATGGGTTTAAGTCCTGGCTCCATTGTTTTATTAACTGGGTGACTTGGGCAAGTTACCCTCTTTCACTCTTTTTTCATCTTGTATGGTGGGAATAATAGTCACATTTTTCTCATTGTGGACAAATGAGAAAATGCACATACAGTAAAAGGTTAATTGTTGTTGCTATTATTATTACTATTATTTGAGCTTGTTGTTAAAGTAGTGACTAAGGCAAGGTTTACGTAGCACAGGGTTTAAAAAAATTCAGAAAAAGTGTATAGTTACATCACATGAAATTGGGTCAGTCCTGGTCTCCTTAGAGGCAGAGCCAAAATGGGATTAAATTTGTAAGTATTTTATTAGGGGAAATATCTGTGTGAGAAAAATGGAGAGATAACTGGAGAAAGCTAGGAGAGCATGAGAATGATGCCAGACATTGGTAGGAAGAGCAGCAGTAAGGGAGAGAAGTAGAGACTGGTGTGTGGATGTGCCCTTGACTCTTGTGTGATGTAAGGAGGCTCAGCATAGCTGTATGTCAGAGTTGTCTGTCAGATAAGTCCTCCTGTCTCCTAGGAATGGACCTGCCTTAGTGTCCCTGTCACATCCTACAATGGGCTGGAAGGAGCTCTAAGGGGCATGACCTAGCACAAATGCAGCATAGAGCTCCGAACCCAGTAGTAGGGGCCCTTGGTCAATTACGTTCTTTATATTTGGAAGTCTGTGAGCCCCATTTTTATTGTTGTCATATATACTAATTTAATAATTCAATAATTCAATATCTGGACATTTTCTATGTACATAGAACTACTTTGCTAGAAGTTGTAAGAAACATAAAGATAGTTAAGACATATTTCTGCTGCCCTGGCCATGTAATTCAAACAAGAGACTGTATTTTGTACCAAATGAAGTACAGAAAAAGGCATCCTACAAGAACAGGGAAACAAGCTCTAAGTTGCATTTTGCTTTGAAGGATAGGTGAGGTTTGACGGGGGGTAGGGAGGGGCCTGGAGGTTGTGTCAGACTGAGACAATAACATGAGCAAAGGTATGAAGGGAGAAAATATGGGGCTTTCATGGGGAAACTGTTAGCACAGGATATCTGGATATGTGGAGGAAGGTGATAGTTACATGAGACATAGGTTGAAAGTTGAACACAATTAACAAAGAGGAGCTAAGCTGTGGAGCACTTTGAATATGAGGCTATAAGGGGCTCAAATAACTCAGCAGCAAAAAACATAATCTGACTTTAAAATGAGCAAAATATCTGAATATATATTTCTCAAAAGAAGACATACAAAAGGCTAACAGGTATATGAAAATATATACATCACTAATCATCAAAGAAATGCAAATTGAAACCAAAATGAGATGTCATCTCACTCCGGTTAAAACGGCTCTTATCGAAAAGTCACAGAATAACTAATAGATGCTGATGAGGCTATATAAAAAGCAGAACCCTTGTACACTGCTGGTAGGAATGCAAATTAGTACAGATGCTATGAAGAATAGTATAGAGGTTCCTCAAAAAGCTAAATATAGAACCACCATTTGATCCAGCAATTCCACTCTTGGTTATATATCCAAAAGGAAGGAAATCAATATATCAAAGATATCTGCATTTTTATGTTTATTGCAGCACTATTCACAATAGCCAAAATATAAAATTAACTGAGTGCCCAACAATGAGTGAATTGATAAAGAAAATGTTATATACACAATGAAATGTTATTCAGGCATATAAAATAATGAAATTCTGTTATTTGCAGCAACATGGATAGAACTGCAGAGCATCATGTTAAGTAAAATAAGACAAACACACAAAGACAAATATCGCATGTTCTCGCTCAAATGTGGGAGCTAGAAAGTGGATCTCCTGAAGATAGAGAATAGATCAGTCCCCAGAGGCTGGGAAGAGTAGAGGGGTAAGGCCATGCAGAGAGGTTGATGATGGATACAAATGTACAGTTTTAAAAAGAAATACGACCTAGTGTTCTATAGATATATAGGGTAACTATAGTTTACAATAATCTATTGTACATTTCAAAATACCTGGAAGGGAATAATTTAAATGTTTCTAGCATAAAGTCAAATATTCAAGGTGATGTATATGACAGTTACCCTGATTTGATCTTTGTACATTATTTGAATGAATTAAATTATCTCATGTACCTCCCCCCAAATATACTTTATTTTAAATGAAACTATTAAAGGTTTTTAAATAGAGGAGTGATGAAGTGACATAACGCTAAAGGAGTTTTAGGAAGAGAACACTATGGCAGCAAACAGAAAGTACTGAAAATGATGACAGGAGGAAGGAAGAATGGCTTACAAATACAGCTACAGTGGTTCAGATGAAAAGTAATTAGGACCAGTTATAGAGAAGAGCAGGAGTGAAGAGGAGGTTAAGGGGCAAGTCAAAGGTAAAGTAAGCAGAATTTGAGGACTAGACTTTGAGGAGAGAGAGAAGTTAAGACTACCTCTGAGGTTTTCTTCTGGAAGATCTGAATATTAGGATGCCACTAACAGAAAGAGCATACAAAAGTAGAAACAGGTTTTGTAGGAGGTGAATTCTGCTTTGTCATGTTGAATTACAGGTATTTTCTCAACATTCATGTAGAATGTCCAGAGGTTTGGAATTGAGTGTCTAGAATTCAGGATTAGGTCAGGTTTAAAGTATATGTACCCTAATAGAAGAGATGGATCTAGGTTCCCTAAGTGTAAATAAAACAGTGAAATGAAAAGAGGACTGAGGACAGAACCTTGGGGAATTATATGTGTAATGGAGGTAGGTGGAAAAAGATGAATCCAGCAAACCAAAAAGAGCTTTAGAGTGTGCCTGGCTTAGGACAGTGTAATTAATTATGTGTAATTAATTAACTATAAGTTGTGATGATGGTGAATTGTTACTGAACACCCATTATACATCATCTTCCATTAGCTGAAAAGCTAAGCCAGATGAAGACCAATAGAGACCAGTATATTTGGCAGCTAAAAGATATCAATGATCACGAATAGGGTAATTGTTGTGCAATGATGGGAGTGGAACAGAGACTACAAGAGAAAGTAAAAAGGAAATGATGAAGGAATTTATTCTGGAAAAGTATATAAAATGGTAGAAAAGTGCTTAGTATATTTAACATGCCACCAAATAATATTGTGGAAATATTTTGCAAAAATAATTCAGGAAAATATGGCCTAATATATGCATACATATTTATATACATATGTGCATGCAGTGCTCTGTTGTTCCGTATTAGGATTTGCTCTGCAAAATTGTCCATTATTAAATGTTCACAAAAGCTGTCATATATGTTTTACAGGCAACTGTTCTATCACAAATGTACCCTAAAACTTAAAGTATAATAATAATAAAATAAAATTAAATTAAATTAAATTAAATTAGAGAAGACAAATCATATTGAGCCCCTACTACAAGAAATATATTTTATTATGGTCCCTACTTTATAGATGAGGAAAGTGGGGCTCAGAGAGAGTACTTCTCTAAGGCCACACAGCTACTACATGGTAGAGCCAGGATTACAAGTTAAGTGAAGCAACATGAAGAGTGGTTCAAAGCATGAATAATGGAGCCAGACAACCTGGATAGGAGGAACAGGGGCTTTAACACTTTTCTAACACTGTGACTTCAGGCACCCTTTCTGTGCCTGAGTTTTCTCATCTGTAAAATGTAGATAATAATAATAACAATCTACCTTTTGGTTTATTGTTATATTTGACTGACACATAGTAACACTTTAAAGACATGTTATTATCTAGTTGTAAGGTCCAAACTTTAGCCACTGGGCTATATTGTCTTCTACAGACTCTGAGAAAATACACTGTTTACTAGAGTTGGGAATTACAGAGAAAGAAACTTTATTTTCTTCATTCCACTGTAAATTTAGGATGTTTTTAAAACTATTTTCCCCAAGTTAATGAAATCTCTCTCTCACTCTCTCTCTCTCCCCACCACCCGCCCCCTCCCCCCACCCCCCACCACACACACACAGTAGCAGCTTACTTTTGGACATAGAAATTCAGAAAAGCACATCAAGTACTTCAGTCTTCTATAGTTATTTTATACAAGTTTTTTTTTTTAACTTTTCCTGGGCTATCTGCTTTCCCAGTAAATATAAAACATAAACGTAATTTATTCAAATGTGAAATTTCAAAACAACAGTCATTTGTATTAGAAGACTTAGGAAAAACATGAAGAGGAATAACCACTTAGAATGGCAGAAGAGAGCATAAGAATTCTAGAGTTGAAATGAAAAAAAATAGGCATTTTAAATTTAACTAACTAAATTCAAAGTTAGGGAGTTCATAGAAAAGAAATAAGTGGACTATATTACTTACATTTTTAATTGGTCATATTTGCATTATGAAAAAATGAAAAGATAAGACAATAGAAGTTACATTTGCAGCCTATTCTTCTTATGAACAAGTAGTCTCTTGATTATTGTGTGGCTGTGGGTACAAGGTCATACTCAAATTTGGCTTTGAGATAGAAGAAAATGCTCGCTTTAATTTGAGCATAATGTGAAATGCTAGCTCCATTTTTTAATAGCAAGACATGCCATCATATTGGTTCCTCAAATAGGTTATTCCCATTGCTTAACTTTGCAATTGTCCCTACAAGGACAAATGTTTCCTTAAAGTCATCCAAAGATAATTCACACTTCTTGCATGTCTCTCTTCCACTCTTGTCTCACTACATCTACTAAGTCTTAGGATATATATTGATACATTTTTTAGTTACAGACATTTATGGTAAGGCTCAGATGTGTATCCTAATTTTATAAATTTCAGCATTCCTAGATCTGTACAATTTATAGAACTTTGGTATCTACTAATATGATATCATTTCAAGGTCTAAACCCCTTAGGAAAGAAGAAAACTGGACTCACTGACAGGTGTGAGCTGATAGCAGAGAATCTCAGGTGTCCATCTTTGGGGATGAGAGCAGAGTGGTTCCATTTGCTACCCCCACCCCCCCGAAGGTACCACAAGGCTGGGTCTGATGGAAGAGGCATTTCTTACCTGAGGTTGAGAGAATGTTGAAATAAAGGGGCCATACAAAACTGACAATCAAAGAGAAGCCTGGTTAGGTAGATATGCAAGAGAATAAAATTTACTTGGGCCATTAGAATGAGGGTGCAGAAGCAGCCTCCTATAAGATGAGTGATTAGCTGGCTGAGGGGGAACTATGAAGCAGTGGAGTAGGATGGGTAGGGAGCAAGTTTGTCTGGGGAGAGCCATGGAGCAGTGTGGTGGAGTTGGGTGAATTAGGGGAACTCATTGCGGTTACGGGGACCTTAAGGAAGACAGAGAATTGGAATAACTGAAAAATTTAGGAATGCAAAATACAATTGGGCTTAAAAACTCACGGTCTGAAAGTTTGAGTTCAGGGCCAAACCCAGCCTTCATTGCTACTTAAATGCACTCAAACAAGGGCACATAGGGAAATCAAAGCTTGTAATTACTTTGACTATAAATGAAAAAAAACCTTGAGTATGTAGGTTGTAATTTAGGTGTCAAAGTGAAATAGTCTCTATAACTTTTTTCTAAGATTAAAAATTAAGATTTTTTTTAACTCTGTTTGTGTGTGTGTGTGTATATGTATGTGTGTGACAGAGATTCGAGCTACTTAGCTGATTGTGAAGGAACTCTCCTACACCTTGCTTATATGGAGACATGAATCTTAAATAAAACCTAGTTGCTCAATATTTTAAACTTTAAAGGTATGCTCAGACTAGACTCTGGCCAGCCTCAGTTATGTTCTGGTCAGGAGGGCTCTCTAATGATGCATAATTAGGAGTTATGCCCTCATTACTTTGAAACTGATTTGCTTCTGGGTGAATTTCTTTAGCTCTATTCTTCCAATAGTGGACTCAGTAAGCTCTTGCATAGCACCAAGAGGAAATGTGTTTAAATCCAGCTCTGGGGTGGATTCGTTGACGTGGCACCCCTCTGATCCTTTGCCAGATGTCTATCCCCAGCTGGCAAAGCTCTCCGCCTTCTTTTCAGTAGTTGTTGTCAACGCTGAGCTTCCTGCCAGCAGGGGCTGGTCTCTCCTCAATGGAGGGCAACATGCCCTCAATCAGCATTTAGATTCTTCTGTGAAGACATTCATGGATAAAATTCCCTGCTGCTTCTCATCTGCCTTCTGTTTTTGGAATTTCCCAGACATCTCTTGAACTGTTAGGCTTCTATGTGTGGCCACTGTAGGATGTGTGTTTGGGGTGGTGATTGGAGAACTGGTGATACAAACTATAGAGACCACTGGGCATGGAGCCTGAATGTTTATAGGCCTTGTTCCCATAGATCTTCAAGTGTCAAGAAGGGGGCTTATGGTGCTTGGCATATGGCCCAGAAGGTTGCATGAGTAAAGGGCCTATGGGTTGAAAGTTTTCCTTTCTTGGAAACCACACAGTGCCATAGTTAATTAAGAGTGTAGGCTCTAGAGCCAGAGAGACTGGCTTAGAATCCCAGTTCTATCTGTTGTTAGTACCGGAGTCGATTAATTGACATATAGTCTCTCAGTGACATTGGGCTAATTATATAACCTTTATGTAATTCACGCTTCTCATTTTTTAAAGTGGGAATCATGACAGTACCTTTTTCATAGGGTTCTTAATGAAAATTAAATGAACTATTTGTAAAGTGCTTTCATCAGTGCCTGGCATTTGGTAAATATTATATAATCGTTTGTTAAATAAACTAGGTTTATGTCTCCCAGGTTTAGTGGAAGGAAAACAAACATTGATTAAGAGAGATGATAAAAGCATTCTGCTTGAGTAAAAAGTAACATCTATAATTACTTTTTACCACTTATTGGCTGCTTACCATGATCTAAATACTATGCCAACCATTTTATGTAATAATAATGAACCCATTCATAGCACATGCATCTGCCAGGCACAATTACAAGCCACTTTATCCACTTTGCTCTTTTGTTCCCTGCATCAACCCTGACAGGAGTACATATATGTCTATTATTATCATCATCCCCATTGTTCTCATGAAGCAAGTTGATGTCAGATAACTTGCCCAAGGTCCCAGAGCCAGGAGTAGAACTAAATTTTGAATTCAGGCAAAATGGTCCCAGAGTCTTTGTTCTTAACCACAGTCCACACTCTCTGTCACGGAAGCCCTCCTTAATTCATCACAGCAATCTTAGGAGGAGGTATCATTATTCGCCTCATTTTGTAGAGGACAACACTAAGATTTAGAGAACTTAGCAAGCTGCCTAAGTTCACACTGCAAGTAAGTGAAGGATATTTGTGATCCAAATCAGTTTGCTAAAATTACAGAATAAAATTAATATATATCACAAAAATCTGTTGTCTGAGTGTACCAGTCATAGAGAGGGGAGGACTATAGGAAAAAATGTTATCAGGGTTGGTCTGGAAAATTCAAGATGTGGAAAGTGTAGATATGCTCAAGGACCTTCCAAACAAGTGTGTTTATAAAAACTCATCAAGAAATTACTTCTGTTTTTAGCTACTCTTGCTATCGGTCTAATTTAGTATTCTAGGGAAGTATATTTCCTCAAAGAAAATTTTAAAAAGCAGCAGAGATATGTTCGATGTTATAACGTTCACTGAAAAATATCTAAGTGCAAAATTGTATGACAACTTCTAGGAAAAAATATTCAGCCATATGGACAAATCCCTGTAAGGAAATACAAAGTAATAAAAATACTTGCTTTGTTAATATGATGAAATTGTGAATTATGAAATGTTTATTTTAACATTGCTATTTTTTTGCTAATTAAAGTCAACTTAAAAAAAAATCAACCCATTTTGTCAATGCCAATCTATGGTCAGTGTTCCTAGTTCAAGATCATGTGCCTGGCATACTAGAGTAACCTCTCCTCTCTCCCTCATTCAACAACTGTGCACTTGGCTCTTAGCTCCCGGATCCATATGCTTCCATGTGAGCCTTGCACTCCTTTGACTCTACATTTCCATTAGTGTCATCTCCTTGATTTGTAGTGTCCTCTGTTTTACCACTTGCACATCAGCATACTGCCCACCACAAAGCCTTTCATAAAGCCTGCTTTGACTAACACCAACTGGAAGTGACCTCCCCTATTCTGAATGCTTATTATCTGTAGTTGCCATTTGACATATGTGGTCTATTGTGTGTCTATCCTCTCTGTTCTTTTAGATTGTAAAGCTGAGACCCTGGTCTCTGCTGAATTTAGCATCTTTTATCATACCATACAAATTGCAGAGGAAATTCTCAATATAGCTTTGTTTATGGAGATAACAAATTGTGAAAAAGGATGGGCTCTACTCACCCTACTTTAAACTCTAACAGGTATTTTTAGCACTAAACTGTGCCTTGACCTTCAGGGCTAAAGGAATTTTCCAAACTATAGGAAAGTCAGAATTGAAATGGTCTAATATTTCAATGAATTCATTATAAATTGTGTCTCTTAGTAATTTTCATTTATCCTTAGAATTAGAAATGTAGTGTATATTATAAAATTTCTATTCAAATAGTCTATGGATTTGTATAAACAAAGGACAAGTTTTATCATCCTAGACAGATTATCTGCAGATGGGCTAAAAGTCTGGTGCTGTATTTCTGGTGCTTTGACACTTTTGTGTTTACTTGCTATTATAAAATTGCCTTCCAAATTTTTTAATAAACTTCATCAGCATAATCTTGCTTTGTGATCTTTAAACATGATATAAAAATTAATGGTTCAAAGACAAGTTTTTCCAAAGGGGAGAGATGAGATTGATCAGGCAACATTTATGTCCTATAAGCATGGTGATATAAAATTATTATTAGAGAGCCCAAGAATAAAAACTAGAACTTGGCTAAACTGTTTCTTTTTTGTTTTGTTTTTGTTTGCAGCATTTGATCCAAAAAAGTGCTTCTCAAAATTATGTATGCAAAACAAAGGAAAAGACTCTTGTGCTCTTTTTAATGCCAGATTTTATAGTGTATGCATACATGGGTCAGTATGTTTACAAAAAAATTTAAAAGGCTTCTAGAGCTTTGTCTACTTGCTCACAACTCAGCCTATAGATGACTTAAACCATGCAGCTAGTTCAGCCTCAGCTTCGTTTTTCATCAAAATGTCTTTTTGATTTTCAAATTACTTATTCATTGTGAAGAGTCTGTCTCAAAATTGAGAAATAGAGATGACTCTCTCAGTTCTCCAGTGAGGGAAACTATATGTTGGTGCCAATTGACTGGTACTTCACCTCTCTGAGTTGTAATGAAAGCCATTCTTTGTGTTTCACTTTAATGAGAAAATAAGTGGTCCAAAGATTGAAAAATAAATGACATTGAAGGAAAAAGGCAGGTAATTTAAAAGAAAGACAGAAGGAAGGAAGGAAAAAATAGAGAGCTGTTGGGAATGTCTCATTGGAATAGTTTTATAACATTCATTTATATTTTAGCATTACCTACCAGATTTTATTTTCATATCAAAATATAATCTATATTATACATAAGTTCCCTTATTAAAACTGCCTTTGGATGTTCAAAAAAATGCTATATAAAGGGAAGAGCTATATGTGAATTAGATGCCTATGTCAGTATTGCCTAACAATACAGCATTCAACACCATTCTCAAGATTAAAGAAATTAGTTCATAGTTAACATTGATTGACTTGTCCTTAGTTTTGAGATTTTTGCACACTTGAAGTTTCTCTAAACCCCAAGCCTTTGAGAATATAAAGAAAAAGGAACTATATTAATGGATGTTTGATACAGTCTGAACAGAACGAGGAAAGGTAATCTCTAAAGAAATTTCAAAGAAACAGTAGAAAAGAATGTTAATTTCCATGTAAATGTATTCAGAGGCCTAGGTTTTTCAGTCTTTCAAGGTGTAAGAATTAATTACCAGTTTTCAAGAGCAAAATTTATTCATGGTAAGAACTACAGCAATCAGAATCCTCTAGGTGTAAAATTCATGAAATTAATATTGAGCCGATTAAAGTTGAATAAATCATCATTTTTCCTTTGGTGTATTGCAAACTACTAAATGTTTGATGTTGTCTGTGGTGTGTTTGTGAACAGTATTTAAAGACTGCCATATATTTTGGGACTTACAAAGGAAGATATTAAGTATGTTTTTGTTCATAGTAAAAATGCATTAGAAACGATGATTTCCTTTTGTGGTCCAGTGTTAGGTTCTGAATTTTTAAAGAATTATTTAGGTGATAATGGAAAAATATTGGTGTTGCTATCATTGATCATTAATGTATTCCTATGAATAAATCATAACTATCTAGTTAACCCAGAAAGCATCTAATCAAAACTTGAGAATAATTCATTCTATTTTTCTTATCTGTACCTATAAAGAAGAGACTTAGTTTAAAACTGTTTGAATGCCAATGAAGAAATGAGAAAAACGCTAGTACTTTTTAGTAATACATAATATGAAAATATTTGGTTGTACTATTTAAATGAGGCTGCCATGTGAAATATTAGCAGGGTCAGGATTAATAGACTAAGGGAATACATAAAAAACTTCAATCATCACCTGAGGTAAGTAGAGAGATGATTTAAGACCAACAGAAAGAGATAAAATAATGGGATTAAACAACTTTATTAATACAGGCATATCTGAAACTTTAATGGGCTTTTTTGGGGAATGGGAGGCAGCATTTCATAGAAGTCTCAAAGCTTATTTTAACTTTAAAGGTCATTGAACATATATCTAGTGTCTAGGGCAGGTTTATTAGAGAGGACCTTAAAAAGTTATAAGCCCATTTTACTGTTTCATTTGCTTTAATTAAAAGGGACTGAGGTGTTTCAGTGGAACACACTCAATGGAACTCTGATGTTCTGACTGTGCCGTCAACTTTCCATTTCTTTTTTGATGAATCATTCCACTTCGCTGAGCTCTGGTTTAGTCAAAGGCAGATGGGAATGAATGAATGAATACACATTCCTAGAGAACAAAGTGAAAATTTCCCTTCTCATATACTTTTGGCAATTGTAATACAGGATATGAGTATTACATAATCCTCATTTACACATCCATATGGATTTAGGCCCAAGGTCTTACTTAGACACTAACACACTCTTCTGATGTGTTTCAATTACCTTTGAATGCAAGCTACTTCTTCTTGGACACTTCTCTCCTGTCTACTCAGTTTCTGCGCTTTCTTATCTGAGATTGAATTTCAAAGGTTTGCTTCCAAAAAAAGTCCTCAGAATATATAGAAATTCCATGAACCTTTCACACTACATTTCATACAGCGGAGGTTCCCCCACCTCTTTGAGGTAGTAAGCAAGAGATCTTAGTGAGTGGGATATTGTGAAATGGTTCTTAACCAATAAAAACTTTGCCTGTCTCTAGGATTTGTGCTTTGAATAAAGTCAGATATGATGATTATAAAATTTAAATTTAAATGAAAAACATTGACTTAAGAAATGTTCATATTCTAGAAATGTCTTTTTAAGACATTTATCTGGAAAAAAAACCCCAACATATTTTGTCTCATTGTCAGGGTTTCCAGTGAGAAAAACCACAGGTAATCATTACTATGTGTCCTCAAAGCATGAAAACAAAACTTCATTTCTAGGATTATTTGTTTAACTGAAGAAAGTTTATACAGCTTGTGGGAAATCATCTCCTAGGACTCAACATGGGTGATTTGTTTTCTTTTACGTTTGTTCTGTGTATTTTTTCTCATTAAGGGTAACTCTAACGTCTCAAAGATCAGCTACTTCTTGACACACAGGCTCACTTTTGACCCTGGCATTGTGTTCTTCCTTCTGGTCTAAATCAAGAACTGTGTTCAGGTGTTAGAACTGCTAGGTACTCAAATGTTTGCCAGGGCCAAAATACTATGTTATAAACAACAAAAAGAAAAATGAGGTAAACTGAAGATAGAGATCATTTTGTTTACTCTTGCCCAGTCTTTCATTTGCAGTGTAAAGAAGGTAAAATTTTGTAAAGAATAAGGACAAAAAGAGAATGATGGAATCATAATTGGATCTTTTAGGGATTCTAGAGCTGAACTTAAGCTCATACTTCTGATCTTTTCCAGAATCTCATTGGAATATAAGCCATATACTCTTTGAAGCACTACTTTAGAATCTTAGATTCTTGAAAATGTGATAACCCTGTGTTTTCTGTGATTTTAAATAGAGCTGGTTGTTGTGGGCATCTAGCAGGGATATGCAGCTACATAGGAAAGCCTGGCTTAAGAACATTGTTCACTCTGTCCATAGAAGATGCAGCAAGGGATGAAGAGATGCAGGACTAACCAGCCAGGCTGATCAACCCTGATGATCCACAGGGCTATGATGTCTCAGACAAGGAGTAAAGTGAAGGACTGAGATAATCCCCAGATTATCTAGGAAGGAATTTGTCTCCTTTTCATTTTCTGTTGTATGGCCTCACACTTACACTCAGGTAAGCTTAGTATCTTCTGTTTAATAGAATGAGAATTTTAAGAAGGACTTCTTTTTTTATTATTTTACTTTAAGTTTTAGGGTACATGTGTACAACGAAATAAATAAATAAAAAAGGACTTCTTAAGATGATGTAGGTCTAGTCTTGGCTCTCAGATATTTCCTGGCATGTGGTCTTTGACAAAGCACTGAATCTCTCTGCTTGTCAGTGTCTTCCTTAGTGTAATGAAGTAGGGATTGACTCTGATATGCTTACCTTAAGAGTATTGTTGTAAAGGTCTGATGTGACAATCATATGCATGGGAAATTCTGAAATATGAGATTGTATCAGTTTTACATAAAATGAATGATACTTGCAAATTCAGGGAAGCCAACCCTTGCCTCAGCTTTAGCCTATATACCCTCAAAAAAGCCACTCTTAGAAATTATGAAATATTTATAGATGTATGAATTTTTGTTTCCCATAAGAGTATTCCTTTTGGGTCTGAAACTTGAAGGTCAATAAATAAGTTTGAGTAGTTACACCTGGATATCTTTTACCCTTTGAATAAATTAGATTTAATAAAATCTAATAGGTGGGCAAATTATGGATGATTCACAATGAATTACTTCAATTTAGTTTAAAACAAAGGAAATATATGTTGAAAATAAGGGAGAAACAGTTTTAGCAACATTGTATAATGAAACCAAACTTAAATGCCTTAATCTTTAAAACTATCAGAAGAGATTTCTCAACTTTTTTATTATTGATATCTCTGCCAGTAGGAATTTGTCATACTTTCTAAAAAATAATTTAGATTTTTACCTGTAATATTAGGATTCTATGTTGAGACCCCTAAATTTATTGTTTTGAATAACTTCTCAAGTACAGTAAAGTTTATTTTACTTAATAGACTAGCAGGTGTTTATTCTGGTTATTATAATATTCTAGTTAATAGTTACCATGCATGATATTCAATATATAAAAATGTAATAAAATATTCTTCGGTTGGACATCGTTTATCTTTTTCAGGTTGTATTTAGTTTCTTATTAGGCTAAAGGTTATTGTTATTAAAAAAAAGTACTAATGGAAATCTGTGTTTTCCAGTTTAATTCTGGATAACAGAATGCAATTGTGGTTTAAACAGTAGTAGAGCCTTGCTAATGTGGATTATGTTTGGGATTATGAAAAATTAAAAGTGTAGAATATTTAAATTTAGACTTTCATTAAAATTACAATGAACATCAATTAATCTGTTTGAAATGATACGTTTCTAATTAGTAGAGGGTAAGTTAATGGTACTGATGCTATTAACGTAAGTTGAATGCTTATAAGTCTATCTCAGAACATTAGTATTTATCATTTCCAGCCACCAAGTAGAACACATGACAGCAGAAACAATAATTTCTTTTAAGTAACTGACCCCATTCACATTGCATTTTTATATAAATGACTTGTATTCTCTGTAAAACATCAGGAATAGGATCCTGATATGGCATAGTATTTCTCTTTCTGGCTTCCTTAATTGTTTTCTGTGTAAAGATATTGGGACATAACTAAGATAACTGTCTGACTTCAGTAATAATAGTGTGGGGCAATTTTTGCTCATGCTAAAGAAGGTAGAAAACACATTCCAAGACAGGTGTAGGGTTATTAATTAAAATACAGTGCAAATTACAGTGAAAAAATGAAAGTCATGGTTAGTAGCTGGGGACTGATGTGAGGCTTCTTCCGAGAATTTGAAAGTAAGATTGTAGGCTCTCATTTCACCTCGCAATTAAAAATCAGAAATAAAATCTCCCATATTGAATGCTTTAACAGAAACCAAAGGGCTTTCAGAG
This sequence comes from Homo sapiens, assembly GCF_000001405.40. Lineage (NCBI taxonomy): Eukaryota > Metazoa > Chordata > Mammalia > Primates > Hominidae > Homo > Homo sapiens. Next base: position 86,700,346 of record NC_000007.14, on the reverse strand, counting down.
AGTGTTGGAAAACTGCCTTTTAATGAATTCCCTTAATTTTAACTCTCAGTTGTAATTTCATGCTTTTCAAATTATTTTTTGATTATGAATTGGCTTCCTGTTTAGATCCATCTAAAATAAGTAGTTGGCTAGTTATGCAGATTTAGGTATTCCTGTCTCTAAGATCGTTATTTTTTATTGCAAGTCAATAAAATGGAATTCAGACTATTATATATCAGTTTCATGAGCTTGGTTAATGGCAATCTCACTGACAGATGGTTCTGTTCTCAATGTGCTGGAAATATCTGAGGAATATTACCAGCCTCTGGACTGTGGAAAATTCACGAAGTTTAAGACGAGCATGCTGTGAAGCCTAGTGTGGGTTACCTCTTAATGACTCATTAACCAGAGATCTTTGTAGAATAGACATTCATTAAGATCTCTCAAAATTATCAAATTTACATGGATGCAGGTCAAGTTTTTCTTATCCCAGAGCAAGGATAGTGATAATAACAAGTGTGACCTTTTATTTCCCCTTTACCTCCTGGGAAAAGCTAGTTCTCCTCATCTGGTGACGCATAACTTTTTCTCTGCAATGAACTTTCTTCTTGACCAAGTTACTTCAAAACCATTTTGTTAATTTCTGGATGAAATCTGTACTGAGATCGGTTGGCTTTCTATTTCAGTATGTGATAGAAGGTATAATTTATATTCATGCTAAAACTTTTTGTGATTGAATAAATAAGACATGTTCAAAATGTGGAAAACCAAAGAATATTTTAAGAAGAAAACACAAGTTCCCTATAATACCATGACTTGTAGGTATTCTGTGCTTTTTAAAAATATTGCTTGCTTCTTATGACTAGTGTTAAGTTTAATTGCTCTTATCAATATGTGTTGTCCATCAATGGGAAATACAATAAAGTTAGAAAAGAAGGTGATGTTTTAGGAATAGCCATTGAGAATAATAATTGCCAAGTTATTTAACTACCACAATAAACAGTGCAGGAACCATCCAGATTCTGCATCTGGATTGACTTATAACTCACAAGGGGTGGATAGAGAAAATTTCAAGCTAATAGGTATTGTTTCTAATTTCCTACATAAGCTGGTAGGTGTTAACCTCTGCTATTCAAATAAATTGAGAGAATTTATTTTATTAAGGTAGTTGATCCGATTTCAGTGAATTTTCTCTTTCTGGATTTCAATCTTCCCTAATTAATAAGCTCAAACGTCTGGTTCCTGAAACAATCTAATGGCTTCTCTCCCTGTATTTCTTTTTTATGGTTAAACTATAATTTTTTACTTTAAAATCTCTGGTTTTGTACATGTGATTTAAGATCTTCAGAGGCTTGTGGGAAATTCATTAGTCACCCCTCTCTGGAGTATAGCCTCTGGAGTATAGCATCAATACGTGTGCAAAACTGAACAGCTTCCTAGTAACAATACATACTGCTAGTGGGGCCATGTTTTTCTAAACCTCAAATTGTCTAAGACACGTGGTTTAATGAGGAAGACAGGATGGAATGTGAAATGGAAATGGCTTATGACACTCAGATGAGGCAGCTACTGCTGCTATGGCCCTTTTCTGGGAAAGTGTTCTTAAGGGCTTTTCAGATTCACATGGGTAACCCATTTTGTTCTCTGTCTTAATCAGATATTAACATCTCAGCAGACATTCACCACTTTTTCCAGTTTTTAAATAGAAAATTGAACTTGAAAGTTGTGCATTTGTGCATTGGGGTTCCAAGCTTTTATAGTGTTTATATATATGTGTGTGTGTGTGTATTGTATATATATAATTATATATATAATAATAATGTGTATTTTATATATATATATATATAAATACTTTTTAGACATGGGACTCTTTATACCAGGTAAAAGGGCTGTGGAAAGGGAGGAAACATTTCTATTTGTGGTGGGGGGTTGAGGAGGATATTTATTATTTAGGTGCACTGGCCCAGTCAGATTAACATCCAAAGGACTGAGCCCCAGACAAAGAGTTAAGTTACCTTTTAAGGAAGGGACTTCTTTAATAAGATTTCTCTGAAAGGGTTCTTTGAGGGATCCTTTACTCTCAGACTATTAACAGCAAATTGTGTTGCAGGCACAGTTGTTCTTTGTCATAAGAATGTCAAGGAATACTTGATTCAAAGAGGTGAGGACATTGAAACCTTGGTAAATCCCCCAGTTCAGTTGCTTTTTCCATGTAATTGGAATGTTTGCTGCTATAGAAAATGGACGGGTAAAAGGATATTATTGTTAAAATGTCTGTTTCAGTTTAATTCCTTGCCCATGAATAGACAACATTGTAGCTCAGACTGTTTTCTATTTAATATCTGTAAGACCAGTCAACTTATTTAAGTCTTATGAGTCTTAGAGTTTTCATCTATAAAATGGAGATTAAAAATATTACCCCATAGGATTTTCAGGATTAATGAGAAGACAGAGATAAAGTAGCTAAAAGAGTTCAAGTCAGCACGTCAGTTCCTTGCTTTTCCATCTTCAAACATTTCCTACACAAGAGATGGGTTCTGGTATCTCTTTTAGAAGAGCTTTAGAACACCAGGGAGGGAATTATTGCCTCTTAGAGCTGAGTAAATATGTAATACACCGTAAATAGTCTGTGAAAGTAAGTTTGCAAAGGGATTTCAATTTTTTTTTAGGGAAATCATTTCAAAATTAGTAATATTACCTCTAGGTTATAAACTTAAAAATTTAGAATGGTTATTGACTTATGTCAACATTTCTGAAAATTACCTTCCTTTTGAAATTAATTCTAAACTTACACTTTTAGGAAAATTGATAACGTGGGGAAAAAAAGCAAAAATTTCAGAAAAAATGTCTTCTCTGTTTTTCGTAATTCTCTCTTAAGGAACAAAGTCTTTTCCATCCTCCGACAAACCAGGTCTGAACACTCCCTGACAGTTAAGTGTCTCCAAAAACTGACCTTGCTTTATTATTGTAAATATTTTCCATCCTTTCCTAATTCAGATTTGAGCCTTGGATCAGGCTGGTCTTTTCACTGATTCTGTGTACAAACCATGTATATTTGTATCTTTTTTTTTTTTTGCTTTTGTTTAATTGTATACTATAATTGTCCTTACTTCTCTTCCTCTCTTCAAGATGTTCTCAACTTTCAAAGCCCCTGTGTGTTAGGAGACAACGAATTTGGGTATGTGGTTTCAAAGATTCTTCTCTCCCATTCCCTCCCTATTTGTTTCTCTTTTTTCCTACTTCCCTTCTCCTTCTCTATGTAGGCAGTTTCTTAATAGCTTTATTTTCTTTTAACACATACCTATAAGTCAAAGCATTCTTTCTCTAGAAGAGCCTGCTTTTTAAGAAACTATAAGAAATAGACATCTTTTACCGTCCATATTCCCAATAGGATAGGAATCTGAGAACAAGGGAGAAAAGATGGGAGATAGGGTCAAGAGAGCCAGAATAGTAGAGCAGTTAAGACAATGGGCTTGGGCAACAGATAGTTTTGGGTTGGAATCTTGGTCTTAGTTGTCTCATCTGTACAATGGGTTTAAGAGAGGTTCCCTCATAGCACAGAGTTGGGAAAGCACAAGAGACAATGTGGGTAAGACATCTAACCCAGTGTTTGACACGTAGCAGGAGCTACCACTGCTACCACCGCTACCACCACCACCACCACCACCACCACTATTACTACAGAAGAACCAAAAGCAGAAAATACTCTTCACCTTTATAAAACAGATGAGCTATCAACAGCATAGAAGGTACTGATGGTATATTAGTATGCTATTGCTGCTTTAACAGATTACCACAAATTTAGTGGTGTAAGAAATTATTATATGAAGCTATTCTCTTGCAGTTCTGGAGATCATAAGTCTGAAATAAGTCCAGGGCTAAAACCAGTGTCAGCAGGGCTATCCTCTTTTTTGGAGGCTGTAAGGGAAAATTTGTTTCATTTTTCTTCCAGCTTCTAGAGGTTTTGGGGATTCCTTAGCATATGGCCTCATCCCCCCAATCTTTACTATTGTCACATTGTTTTCTCCTACCTCTGACCTTCCTGTTTCTCTCTTATAAGGAACCTTGTAATTGCTTTGAGCCCACTTGGATAATGCGGGATAATCTCCCATCACTCTTTCTTAATTTAATCATATCTAAGTCTCTTTTGCCAGACAAGGTAACAATTGCAGATTATGGGGATTTGGAGGTGAACATCTTTTATAGGGGGCATTATTCAGCCTTCTACAGACAGACTGAGCACTTTGGTGCAAAGGAAACAGGCATGTTTAGAAAGCAATAGAAGGCCAGGAATTAACTTGTAGAGGAGTAGCAAGTGTTTACAGAAAGAATTGGTTAGCCACCTTTGACAGGAAACAAAGTGAATGAACTCCTACTGCAACTGGTTTATTATTTATCAGTAAAAGCTAAGGTAAACTGTACCTTTCCAGATAATATATTTTTATATGAAAAGTTTTATTCATCATGAGTGATATCATTGTCTCTTAGGAGTTACATTTTTGCTTTTCTACAACTTAAAAAAGCACCATCATTGTCTAAATGACATCTTCCTTAGATCTAGATATTGTGAGTTTTAGGGGAAGCTAGCCACCTTTTAAAAACTCCTAGTAAGTGTTAGAAAATTATCTAACACTTTATCTCCTTTAATATTATCTCCTTTAATATTCTTTATAGTTTTTTGAGGTAGACATTGTTACTTTCACTTTTTTGTTGAGGAAACTAAAGTTTAGAAGCCTTAAGTAACTTACTTGCAGTTTCACAGCAAGTAAACGGGAGTTCATGATTTGAAGCCATGTGGTATCTGACGCAAAAGCTCAGCTTTCCCGTCCTTTAATGTTTGGCCTTAATAGAGTGGATGACTGCATTTACCTGTTACAGATTAAGTTGCTAATTAAATAACAGCAGGACTAGGTTCTAGGCCTCTTTATCCTATTCCCTATATTGGTGTTACTATATCAGATATAAGAAATATATATATTCGAAACTGAACATTATGGAAAGATTTTAATTCTAGGGATTATATAACTTTAATTTTCAGAATTGAAGCAGAATCTGCTGAAGAAGCTATCAAATCAGATACTCTTTTCATAATGAACACCTTTCTAAAATCTTAAATCTATTTATAGGAGAAAGGAAATGGATCATTTTCCATGACAACTTCTCTATTTTTAATCTACCACAGTTCATTGTCTTTTTTTGCCTACAGTTCAATGAACTTCAGTTGAGAAAGAAAGGGATAAATAAATCAGGAAGGTAATTGAAGTACATTTATGGACTCCTTTATTTTATGTGATTTGTCCAGGAATCAAGCAAATGACTACTTTTAAGGGCCTGATAAGCATTGGTACAAACCACTATTGCAAATGCTCTCTGATTGCAGTAATTAACTTTGTAGTCTTGAAAGGGAACCCTTGATCTTCCTTCATTACCCAACAGAAGTGCTCTGAAAAGAATTAACATGAAAGTAGACTGTGAACAACATAATATGTGAGGAAGCGAAAATAAGAGTTATTTCTCCTTCAATCCATAGAGCACCAGTCATTGTGTTGCTTGTCAAACAATAAGCGCTGTCTTGGCATTAGCAATTTTCCTCAGGAAAACAGCAGAACCTGAAAAATGACCTAACTTTCATGGCCAAATAAAAAAGTCACTTGTTAAGTGAAACCAGATACTTTAAAATAAATATACCATGGATCAGTATTTAATACCTTTTATATAATTTATTAAATGCTTTGTCTTTCTTTTTTTTCCCTCAAACTTGTAAGAGAAATCAGAATGAGGTTCGGTTTTCTTTGATTTCTTTTTTTATTTTCTTTCTTTCTTTTCTTTCTTTCTTTTCTTTTTTTTTTTTTTTTTGAGACAGAGTCTTGCTCTATTGCCCAGGCTGGAGTGCAGTGGTGCCATCTCGGCTAACTGCAAGCCCCACTTCCCGGGTTCACACCATTCTCTTTCCTCAGCCTCCCGAGTAGCTGGGACTACAGGCACCCACCACCAAGCCCGGCTAATTTTTTGTATTTTTAGTAGAGACAGGGTTTCACCGTGGTCTGATCTCCTGACCTCGTGATCTGCCCGCCTCGGCCTCCCAAAGTGCTGGAATTACAGGCGTGAGCCACCACGCCCGGCCTTTCTCTTTGATTTTTAAGAATGAGTTTGTACTTCATTTCTGAGTGAGTTATTTGGTCAGTTGTTAGAGATATTTCCCATTCTTATTTTCAAAACTGTATGCATCTAAGTGAGGGAAATAATTCTGGTGTCAATCCAAACAGAATTAACCTCTCACCTCCACAGTCCATACTGAGTTAACATTCAGTTGTCTTCTACAACCCAGTGTTAATGAAAAGCTATGGAATTAATAGTGTGGAAGTGATTTATGAACTTAATACATAGTTGCCTGTATGAAACATGAAATTGTAGTAAAAAGGAGATTATCTTTCATTTCCAGTGTAACCTGAGTTGAAAATAGGCAATGCAGTTATTAAATGCTGTGCTCTTCAAGTTCAAAGCTCTTCCGTGGTCAAAGGAAGAGATAGTTTTTACTTTCTGGTACTTCCAGATCTAACACAGTATTCTGTAAAGAGAAGGTGTTCAATAAATACTCATTGCAATGAATTGAGTTTCTATAACAGCGGCTCGGCTCTAGCTCTCTTTTTGGACTCTTTCTTTTCGAGATAACCTGCTACCTGAGATAATCTCTCTCACACCATGAGATTATGGTTAACATTATGGTAATTATGATTAAAAACATAAGAATGTTGTCTCCATAGAATTTAAGATCCTGTTTTCTTATTTTCCTACGATTTGGCCATTTTTCCTGGCCCTGATGATTTGTTAGCTAGAAGCGTGTCCTTTTTCTTTTAATCACCCAGTTTCACTGAGTTCTTCTATTGAATCCTGGTCCATGTGTCTTTGTTTCTGCAATCTTTAGGTGGGCTTACTCATGTTAAAGCTTCCTACTTGAGCACCTATCTCCTGCTATGTTTGTGTGTGGGGAGGCATTAGGGAGCAGCAAAGATCAGTATTAGAGCATGGGCTTCTAACTGACCCATGTCCTAAGGTAGGCTTTGCCACTTACTAATTGTATGCAACTTCTACTTCCTGAAGAAATGGTCTCCTTATTTAAAAGTAAGTCTTATACTACTTGCCTCAAAGGGTTTTGATTGGGATTAAATGAGATGACATAGGTAAAGTGCCTGGTATAGAGTCTCACATAGAGCAAGCTATCAATGAATGATAGTGGTCTGCCCTCCAATTAACCTTATTCCGTGTTCACCCTCTATAATATCCATTACTTACCTATTGCCAGACAATCCTTTTTGATGACAAAAATCCACCTATCTGGACCTGCTCATATTACCAGCATCTGAAAACTGCCTTTATTTTTTGCCATTTCATGACGGATCTGTCCAGTCTGTAGGTCCTGAACTGATGTGCTGCCTTCCCCTCCTCTCCAAAATAAAATGTCTTTTCATGTCCTGAGCCCCATACCTGACACCTGCTTTACTATTGGTTTTTTGAATTACTTCTTTAATACTTTTCTCTAATAAAATCAGAAACTATTTTAAGAAAACAACATTTTCACTTTGAGATGCTAGTGTTTATATACTTTGATTATTAATTCAAAAAATATTTTATGTGCCTAGTATGTACCAGGCACTGTTAAAAATACCAGAGATAGCTTCAAGAATAAAACAGGCAAAAATTCCTTAATATTCTAATAAAAGAGGTCAATAAAAACAAGTAGACACATAAAGAAATACTATTGGGTCATACTATAAGCTCTATGTAGAAAAGTGCAAAGTGATGAGAGAGAGAGATGTGGCAGGTGCATAGGTGGATATGTGTGATTTGAGCAAATAACTGAATGACGTGAAGGCATAAGCCATTGCTAAATCTGGTATAATAGCAGCAGGCAGTGAGAAAAGACTAACAGGTCTGAAGGAGAACCTTGAATGTTTGAAGAACAGCAAGATCAGTGTGGTAGGATCATAATGATTGACAAGGATAGTAAAAAGAGAGAGTCAAAGAGATGGTTAAGGGCCAGATTATGTAGACAGACTCTATAGTCTATGATAGAAAATTTGTATGTTATTCTAAGAGAAAAAATGTTTGAAAACAGAGGATTAGAAACTGACTTATGCTTGTTGAGAACACTTATTATGTACTTGGAAACAAGCCCAAAGTATGGCTATGTGTGTCATCCTTTATTACACTAGAACATTGTCTAATTGGCCTTTCCAAGGATTATTTAATTCTCTAGGTGAAAGTACCTTTGTTTGACATTCACTTTATTTTTGATTCGGGCCCAGACTCTGTGAAATCACATGTTAACTTGTAGATTTTGTCTGTTAGAAAGGCAAATCATTTCTAACTTGCAGAAAAGATAGAGAAAATAACTCTGAAGATTACAGTTTTATTGCCTGTAGGACATTAATCAGTTTGTCTCTTAGCATCTTAGTCCATTTTGTGCTGCCATAACAGAATACTGTAGACTGGCTAATTTTTAATGATAAGAAATTTATTTCTCACAGTTCTGGAGGCTGGGAAGTCCAAGATCAAGGTGCCAGCATCTGACAAGGGTCTTCTTGCTAAGTCATTTCATGGCAGAAGGGCAAAGAGAGGGCAAGAGAGGCAAAAGGAGGCCAAGCTTATACTTTCATAAGGAACCCACTCCTGTGATAACAAATCTACTCCCATGGTAAAGGCATTATTAATCCATTCACAAGAGCTCTAATGTCTAATCACTTCTCATTAGGCCCTGCTTCCCAACACTGTTGCTTTGGGGGTTAAGTTTCCAAAACATGTTTTGAGGGACATATGCAACCATGGCACTCAACAAACTTATTTTAATATGCCTTTCCTATATGCCCTATTTCTTTAATTATCCTTTGAACTAGCTTTACAATCCTTGTGGTTCTCTCATTGATGAGTTAAACATTTTTGACATGTCTTCTTTATTTACATAAGAGTTATGGTTTTAGCATTTAGGAAATTATATGCTTTGACATGCTAAAAAAAAAGCCCACTTTGGCTGCTTAATGGAGAATGCAGTGTGTGAGAGTATGAGGGAGAATTTGCCAAGGTAGAAACCGGAAGACAAATGAGGAGGATGGTAAAGAGATCCAGGCAATGGCAATGATCAAGATGACCTGGGCAGGTTGTAGTGGTGGAAATTATGAAAATTATTTAGATTTTATATCTGATTTGGAGGTAAGGATAAGACTTGCTGATGAATGACTAGGGAATGTAAGATTGAATGGCTAGGGAGTGTGAAATTCAGAGAAGAATCTAGGATTTCTGCTTGGGCAACTAGGAAATGGTAGTAGAGGAAAAGCAGAATTTTTAAAGAAACTTAAAAGATCTGTTTTGGCTATGTTAATTTTAGACATAATTTATACCTCTTTGGCAAATTTCCTTATGGTAAAGATGTTTATTTTTGCAACAACCAGGCAAATCTTAAACATAACAAATATCTATAATTATGAATATGCTCTTTATACATGATGTCTTCTGAAATCCCTAGAATGATTTCTCATCTTATGTGTTCAGATAACTTCTTCAAGCTTCCCCCTCAAACCTCCTCATTCTTAAATTTAACATTTTTCTCCAAATTTTAAGTATAATATATCCAAAACAAGACTCTTGATTCCCACTCGGCAAAGCTGTCCTCTCTCTTGTTCTCTCACTACTAGCACTCTCAATCCCAGTAAATGGTGTCACTATCTACCCAGATAGACTTATGGGATCATCTTGATTTCTCCCTTGCCCCTGAACCCCTTATACACAATACATAAGTAAGGCAGATTTCCAACCTCTGTATTTCACATATGTCTGCTTTAATTTCATGGTGAAGGCTCACTCCAGTCCAGGCAAGCATTATCTCTCACTTTCTCACTGATCTTCTCACTTCACCTCTTATTTCTTGTAAATTCACTCTTTATTTAACAACCAGCAGAAATCCTAAAATATAAAGCAGATCATGTCTGTTCTCTTCTTAGAACATTTCAACTGCCATCTATTGTATTATGATAAAATTTAAGCTCCTCAGCCTGGCATCAAGACCTCACCTTCCTCACCAAATTCATCTGTTCCACTCCTTTTGCTTCTACATGCTCAGGTCCCACAGGCCTCTTTCAGTTCTTGGAAACTGTAATTTCCCTCCTAACTCCAGGCCTGATCCCTCTACTTGGAACTCTCCATTCTCTTCTCACTTAAGTATCACCTCCGAAGTGAAGGCCCCTAGGACCCATCTGTCTAAAACAGGCCCCTTGCCTGTCATTGTTTGTCGTGGAAACTTTTTTATCCTTCTATTTCTGTTACTTTCATTTTATTTACTTCACTGGCAAAGCTGGTTCATCATTTTATTTCCAGCCTTTTGCTCAATCCTAGAATAGGAAAGACCCTTAGTGAGTGATTGCTGAAGGAATGGGTGATGTATTTGCAAGGCATAGTCCATAATGATATTATTACAATTATTTATAAGCAAAAATTTACTTATAAGCAAATATATAGGGGATTTTATGAAAATCTAATAGACCAATGATGGACTTCTTAGAGAAAGTTAAATAAGTTTAAACTTCAAAATTTTCTAATTTATATTGTAATGTTTTGTCCATCAAGGCATCTATGTAAAATAATTCTTATTGCTCTTATCAGTATCCTTCTTTTAATTCAAAAGTTACTTCTTATAGCTATTCACATTCTTATTGGCCAGTATCTTATATTTTTTTCCAATTCTATTTGTATTTTAGTACATCTGTCCCAAACTGTTTCTCTAAATAAGTGCAAAATATTAACATTATGCTGCTTCAGCAGAATTATTATGCTTCAAAACCTTCAAAGACAAAGTTACATGGTAAGGAAACACTTTCTTGAGAATAAAGAGACATAACTTATTCCTTTTTACATTAGGAATTTATCCTTAGGCTCTTGTTACTATTTATGATTTATTTTCCTGCTGTATTTCATTATTTTATTTAATCTTACAATAGGATAACATTTGTCTGAAAATGGGACTAATTGTAGAATAAATGAATTATCTATTTACTGCTCGCTGCCCCACATTTTAACCTCAGGAGCTTAGTAGTTTGTGGCAACTTTCTATATAGTGTAGCTATATAGTGTAGCTTCCTATTTATTCATTATGTTATGACATTTTTACCTTGAAATCTTTAGATTTTAATTTTATATTTTATTACTCTTCAGTGTTACATTATTACAATACATTTTTACTATTTAAACTTGCAAAACATCATTTAATGTCTTGGTTCCCTTTCGACCTTTTGTACTAGTCTTACAATATCTGTCAGGATGAGGATAATGGCAATGACTCAGAATTATTTCCTAAGAATTCATGGTTTTGAATATATAATTAATATATAATAAATTAATATATAATAAATTAATTGACCAAGACTATGTCTCGTGACACCAGAGCCTTGGAAAGAATGACTTAAAATTTGTATTCCTTAACCCTTTGTGAACATCTAAGACTTAGGATATTCATTTTAATTTTAAAACCCTTAAAAAGTCAACACATATATATATATATATATCATATGTGTGAGAGATATATATCATATCTCTCATATCACATATTATATATGTGAGAGATATATATATACGATATATATATATCATATATGTAAGAGATATATATCATATTTCTCATATATATATATGATATACATGGTAAAGAGTGCTCTGCAATTGTTGGATATAATGTTCTATAAGCCAAATTAGGTCAGTTTGGTTAATGTCATTCTAAACTTCTGTATCCTTTTCTTTCGTATGCTTTTTCTATTAGTTATTGAAATTGGTCATAGCCTATGATTGTAGATTTGTATATGACTCCTTTAGTTCTTTCAACTTTTTGCTTTATACAGTTAAATTTTGTGCTAATTAGGTATTGAAAACTTTGTGATTTTATAGCTTGCTATGGACTTAACCCTTTTATGACTTTGAAATGTACATCTTTATATTTTGCACTTCTACTTAAGATCTACTTTTTTCACTGTTAATTTAACCACATAATTTTTCTTTTTGTTAATATATGGTAGACTTATTTTTGTCTTTATCCTTTTTAACTATGTATTCATACATATGCTTACAATGTTACTTCTGTAAACAGAATAAAACTGCATTTTTTTTCAAGTCTGACAAATTCTGTGTTTTTAGGTACAATTTTATTTTTTACTTGCTTAGAATTCTCTTTCAGTTTTGAGGTGTAATTGACAAATTATATTCGAGGTGTAAAATGTTATGTTTTCATATACTTAAACAGAGTGAAATGCAGATTTTTTTTATTTTGAGAGTTGACTCCATTTACTTTAAATATCACTGATTCAGCTCTTTTAAACATGTTATCTTGCTATTAATACATTATCCTGTTTTATCCTTTATTTCTCTTTTCTGGCTTCCTATTTATTCATTACATTATGACATTTGTACCTTAAAATCTTTAGATTTTAATTTTATATTTTATTACTCCTCAGTGTTACATTATTAATTACAATACATTTTTATTATTTAAACATGCAAAACATCATTTAATTTCATCATTCCCTTTCGACCTTTTGTACTAGCCTTACAATATATTTCTACATGTTGTAAATTCTGTAAGACATTATATATTGTTTTACTAGCCCATATGCAATTACGTTTACCCCAAAATTTATCTTTTCTTTTCCACTGTTTCCTAAAGTTCTATATGTCTATGAGATCATTTTTCCTTCAACCTAAAGAAGTCCCTTTAGTATATCTTGTAGTGTAGGTCTGCCCAGAAAAACATTCTCGGCTTTTGTTTTTCTGAAAATGTCTATTTTGCTTTCATTTTTCTGAGAAATATTTTTACTTGTACAGAATTCTAGGTTGATAATATTATTTTTTTCTTTCAGGAATCTAAGTATATCCATCCATTGTCTTGTTTCCCTATTTTTCTGTTGAAGAATTGGTAGTCAAAATTAGTTTTTCTTAAACTGAAGATAACATGTACCCTGGCTACACCCCAGGCACTTTTTAAATGCTCTTTGCTTTGTTTTTTAATAATGTTACCATAATGTCCCTAAGTGTGGTTTTATTCACCTTTATTGTGCTTTGTGTTTGGACAGCTTTTTGGATCTTATGTCTATAAAATCAGACATTTTTCATCAATTTTGAAAAATTTCTGGCCAGTATTTTTCAATCATTTATGTTCTAGCATTCTATGTTCTCTCTTTCTAGTGCTCTGATTACATGTATATCAGAGCTTTTCATGGAATCCTATATTTCCCTGACTTTTTTCCTAGATTTTCTACTTTTTCTTTTATAGGGATTAATCACAGCACTTTTTATTGACATGTCTTTAGTTCACTAAATTATCTATTCTGATGTTTCCAATCTGTTATTAAACCCATCTACTAAATTCTTAATTTCAATTTTTATATTTTCAGTTGCAGGATTTCAGTTTGATGCATTTATGAATTTCAGGTTTCCACTGAAATTCCATTCTTTCCTCTATCCATTTGAATATATTAATCATTGCTATTTAAAAATATATTTTATAATTTTAATATCTAAAATACCTAGGTGTCTGTTTCTATTTTTTGCGTTTCTTTTATTTGCTGATGAGCTTGTTTTTAGCAAGCCTTGTATGTTTTGAATCAATGTGCATATTATAGACAAGTTAAATATCAAGTTTTTGTTTTGTTTTGTTTTTTGTCAGCTATAGCAGTAATGCTTTATCTTGATCTTTTAGTTGGTTGCTTTTAGTCTTTGTTAGGGCTGATTACATAATATTTGCCCTTACACTTGAGTGAGGCTTTATAGACTCTCAACTCAAAGCTTGAAGTTTTTACCAAACCTTTGTAATTTTGAGGCACTCAAATACTAAACTGTTTTTCCTTAAAAACGTCTCTGAAATATCTTTGCAACCCCCTGGTGATTTATATTGTTTCCTTTTTTGGAGTTTTGCCCTGTGTATCACACAAGAAAAATTTTGGAACCATGTTTTAGGGTTCCCTCATCTGGGGCTACCTTCTTGCTTGAATTTTGCCCCTTCTCACTTTTCTGGCAGCTCTAAACTCTTATATTTGTCTCTTCAGTGAAGCAAGAGACTTTCATTCTGATTGAGCTCTGTTCTCCCATGCCAAACTGGAGCGTGTCTATGGAGAAATACCCACTGAAAGCATATGTCTTCCTTTAGGATCATAGCCGCTTAATTTGCTGCTTATTTTCATAGTTCTTTAGAGACTTCAATTTCAGTTTTTATATTTTGTCCAGGGGTTTAATGGTTTATAGTGTGAGAGTCTGACATAACTAATCTATCTTGCTCATTATTTAAACTGATAATTATTATTTTAAGCTACATATATTAAGCATTCATTATTTGCCAGATACGGTGCTCAAGGATTTAATTGTATTATCTCATTAAATTCCCACAGTGGTCTTTGGTGTAGTTATTAGTATTTTTTTTTTTTTTTTTTTTGGAGACAGAGTCTTTCTCTGTTGCCCAGGCTAAGAGTGCAGTGGTGCGATCTCGGCTCACTGCAGCCTCCGACTCCTGGTTCAAGCAATTCTCTTGCCTCAGCCTTGTGAGTAGCTTGGACTACAGGTGCGCCCCACCATGCCCGGCTAATTTTTTGTATTTTTAGTAGAGAAGGGGTTTCACCCTGTTGTCCAGGATGGTCTCTTTCTCCTGATCTTGTGATCCACCTGCTTTGGCCTCCCAAAGTGCTGGGATTACAGGCGTGAGCCACCGTGCCCGGCCCCCATTTATACCTTTATAGATAAGGAAACTGAGAAAGGAGAATGAACTAGTTCAGGTCACATTGGCTGCTTATCCAGATCTGTCTGACACTAAGGTGACATCATGCTGTTTCGAAAGTGAATGTCCTTTATCTTGAGCAAGAGAGAAAGCCCACTTGCTCACACACACAGGTGCCAGAGCTTGTTTCAGGTTCTCACTAAGAACACCAGGGCTTGCTTTTCTGTTTTTTCTAATCGATGATGCCTTGTCTACATAGACTTATTTTGTTTCTGGTTAGAAACCAATCTGTAAGTTTTACTGGTAATATGATACAGCAGTTTTAAAAAAAACAAAACTTACTATGTTCTCAAAGCTTTATTTAGGAATACCTTTAAGGGAACAATGTATGCCATACCAACTGTCTTTGGTGCTTTAATTGGTACTTGAAAAACTTCAGATAATTCAATACATCTTTAACTGTTTTCTATTTCATTTTTTGTAGTTCATTAATTGAGGATGGAAGTCATGCTGCAAATATGAGGATATTGAGATATTTTAAATAATGAGAAATTGAACCTAGCAACAATTTTCAATCTATAAGAAAACAAAAGTAACAGTCTGAACAAACAAATAGGAAGTAATTAGTGATAACATGGATAGCATGCTTCCTTTTTCTCAGTTACTATAAGTACTTTACACAATTAATCCTCATACCATCTCTCTGATATAGGTCATCTTGTTATCCACATGTAACAGATGAGAAAACTGAGGCACAGGGAGGTCTAATAAATTGCCCATGGTCACAAAGCTAGAAAGTGGCAGAGATGAGATTTAAAATCCGGCTGTTGGACTCTTTATTTAATATTCAGTGAAATCTTAATTAACCTGAATTCTTGAAGAATAGGATGTCATTATTCCTTGATTCTGTGATTAAACACTGTTACCATATTTTCGATTTTAACACTAGCTAGAAATTTTGCTAAGTTCACTTTACAATATATTCTTCAGATACTGCTAAAGAGCAAGAGGGATAATGGAAGACACATTTTCTTAGAATTTTAAGCTTTGAGGGGAAAGAGGGAAATTAAGGATATGGAAGATTACTAGTTATATAGGTTGTGAAAGTTTCGAGAATCATAAAGCAGTCTGAAAATTGGTTAGAAACATAGACTTGTTGCCATCTGATCATTCATTAAATCGTTTATTCTGTAGACATTTATTTACTACATTGTGCATTGAAAGAAAAATATCATTGAATATTTACCATGTGCCAAATAATGTGCTAGGTAGTTTTATAAACATTATCACATTTAATGCAACAGCCCTCTGTGGAATGTATTATTACTCCTATTTTCAGTTGAGGAAACTGTGTGGCTTAGTGGACATTCATAATTTGTGCATTGTGGGAGATAAGGGCTGTGCAAGTGACTGAGATGGGCTTTGAGCCGAAAACTAAATGACTCCAAGAGCAAGGCTATAATGTTGCAGGGTGTGGGTCTAAGACTTCGGGGAGGGAGTGGCAGTTCCCGGAGGGTAAGAAACAGTTTCAGACCACGAAGAACTTTACAATCTTGTAAAGGGATAAAAAAAAAATCCCCAGCAAATATAAATCTAATAGTAAAAAGAATGCAATACATACCTTGATTGAGATATAATATTTAGAGCTTCAAAGGAGGGAGAGATTACATTCTGTTGTGATAATTAAAAAACCGTCCTGGGAAAGTGGTCATTTATGACTTGTAGGATACCATATAAACTGTACACCATGATCATGTGTCACATAATAGTCTCTATAGTATCACTTTTGTACTAGATATAGAAATGGCTGTTCCCTACTCTTATTTAAACCTTCTATTAAAGGCACCTGGCACTTTCCAGTTCATATTGTGATTAAATTTGCATATGCTTTGTCTTAAGACCTCCTTCAAGGCAGAGACATATTCCTTAATGGGTCCCCACCATGTCTGGCATGGTGCCTGTGACATAGCAGGGGCTTTTCAAGATCTCATTTCCCTTGGTGTCGGTGATATCAATGCTATCCTGGCTACTTTCAATCTCTCTGGATACTCTTTAGGCTCTCTTAGGCAAGAAAGTGGAGTCCTCAGTGTATTCAATCTCCTGACATCTGCCTCTCACATAGGACCTGTTGAAGGACTTCATGAAATCTCATAACTTCAGTTATGGTCCACGTGCTGATGTCTCCTCAATGAATAGATTCTTCTGAGCTCTGAATTGATGTGTACAACATACCTCCATCTTTGTGGTGCACAGGTACTCTAATGTCAGCATGTCTCAAACTGAACTTGTTATTTCCTCTGCTCCAGACTCTCAGCTCTTCCTACATGTTCTGTTGCAGTGAATGTTAAGAGCAGGACCATCCAGATACCCAGGCCACTTGACTCCTTCCTCTTCTCCTCTCCTTGCTTATCTACATCTACTCAGTCATGAAGTTCTGTCATAGTCAAGGAGATAGTTCTTCAACCTCTTTGCTCCCATAAATTTTCATGGCCATTATTTGAGTTCAAAACCTACCATGGCTCATCTAGATCACCTCAGAGTCTCCTTGACTTCAGGCTTGTTTTCTTGTGATCCAATGTTTTCAAACTGCTGTCCAGAATGATTTGTTCAGTTCAAATCTGAAAATGCTCTCCCTTTCAATATCTTGGCTCTTAATTCTTATTCAATTAAGCCCCTCAGCATGGTAACTATGGACAGCCTCTTTTTCTCTACTTTATCTCTTGCCTGTCTTTGTTTCAAACCAATGTCCTGTCCATATTGAATTGTGCTTTTCTGTTCCTTGGCATATTCACTCTTATAAGAATATTTTGAAAAAAGAAATCTTGCTTTCTATCTCTGAACCATAATGACTAGCTCATTCTCTGGCACATTGCAAGAGCTCAATAAATAGTTGCTGAATGATTGGATTAAAAAAATGCTTGAAAAGTAACTAAAAATAAGGCTGAGAAGAAATAATTCACCTCTCTTAATGTGAAAATTGAAATTGGTAAGATTTGGGGCATGCTGGATGATTTTCTACTTCATGGCAATACACCTTTTATTTCTTAATTTTCATCACTGCTCTGCCAGAATTATCTCCAAACAAAAAATAATACAAGTGTAAACCAAAACATAATGTAAAACCAATGATAATAAATAAGCAGAATTTCTCTTAAGTATGCTCTAACATGAATCTAGTGGTCATCATTTTCTTTGTAATTTATTTTTATCTTACTGGGTACATAGACTTGGAACCCTACAAGCTGGATTATTTAGTATTGCAGTGGCATTCGCATAAAATACAAGTGCTAATAATATATGTACAAGATTATGACACGTACCATATTTTACTTCTGTAATTTTTAAAATAATATCAAATACTGCTCTATTGACATTTTTATTTTACATACTTATGATCCTTTGTGAAGGAAAAATTAAAATTATGGAAACAACTAAGTTGTACTGTGAAAAACTTGTAAAAATATGTCTGTCGGTCTATCATCTGTCTATTTAATCCGATGGTGTTATTTTCTCTCTGCTTTGCAAATGCACTGTTTAAGGATAAGAATTGTTTAACCTCTCCATGTGATTATTTGAAAAATCCAACACTGGAATCCCATGTTAGAATTAATGAATTAACTTCTGAAAGTGTGGGGTATATACTTTAGGCAACGTAACTGATCTACGAAGCTTGCTTTGTCAGTACCTGTGAATCTTCACTTCTAACACAGGGATGTGAATATTATACACCACCCACATATCACAAGAACTTTTTTTCTCAGGAATACAACCTAAGTTTATACTTTTAAGTGGGTTATTATTTCTTTGAAATGCAAGACTAGTTCCACACTTAGTTCATCTTTATCAGTGTTTCTGTGCTTGTTGAAATCATGAAGATGAAATATAAGAGTATGAAGAGATGATAGGGTTCAAACCAGGAAAACCCATATGTGAGATGTTACCTCAGCATTCAAATATATACCAGAGACGTTATACTATTTCCTCAGGCATAGTTGCTCCATCTGCTCATGATTGCCAGCTGCTGTTGGCATGAATTCCACACCCCGCCTCACCCCCCAGCCACCAAAGTCTTTGCTAAATTAAAAAACAGAGCCATTGATGAATAATGTAGACACATTGAAAAAAGAGCATATTCATTCCTTATTAATGCTAGGACACAGTTAATGTCTTATTCTTTCTATTTAATTTCATTAATGTGACATGATATAGAAAAAGAGGAAAAAGAAAACGTGAATGAGATATAGTATCTTTTAATCTTAGAAACTGATGGCATATTAAAATTAACCTAGATGGCCCAATCCCCTTGGCCAGTATGGAGATCCCCTCTGAGACACTGAATTGTGGGTTCCATCACTTATGCTGAAAAACTCCATTGATGAAGTTGCTGTATCAGTTTTGTTACAGCTCTAATTGTTTGAAGACATTTTTTCCTATTTCTTTTCCTTGTCTTATTATGCTGGCCAGGACTTACGGTACGAGTTTAAATAAAAGGAGTGATAGTAGACATTCTCATCAAGTGTTTGCAAATATTGTGAGAAGAAAATCATCCTATTTACTGTGTGGGTGTGTTGTTAATCCTGCTATAGAAATGCTGTGATAATTGTGCTGCTTTAAGTTATATGTGAACATTGAACTATATTGTGGATTGGGCCAGAGAGTAGGAAGAGAGATCCTAGCTGGAGAAGAGAAAGAACTTAGTTTCTCTTGATTTGGGCTGCCAAGGGGAATGGTACATTACATGTGGGCAGGCCAGGATTTAGGAATTGTGAGAGGTCAAAAAGAAGTACCTATGAAATTGTGTTTGTCCTTGGTGGCTAAAGTGTAGCTAATATCTGAGAGCATGTGAAATGGGAAGGGGCTGGGAGCTCTAAGAACAAGTCAGCTATGTGAGCTCTGAAACTTGGGCTTCTTATTTATACAGTTCTTGCACTGTCTGGGATCATTCTTCCCCTGCAATCATTTAGTGTTTAACAAAGTCTTACTGAAAGCTTGAATTTGTCTAAATTATGCTATAGGGTACTAAGGACAAAATGTCCTTTTGTCCAGTATTGCGCATTAAAGTGAGATGTATTAAAATGGGAAGAGAAAACCCAACACTTGCATAGTAGAGGCAGCTGGCAACCTATAGTAAAAACTGTGGAGGTAAGGTGAAACTTAGGAAGATAGAGGTAGTAGTGTTAGTTGTCCCAGTGTCTGCAGGACAAAATACTAGAAATTTGAGCTTTATTAAGGTATGCCATATTGTCTGAAAGTGTTCTTCACAACTTCCCTATGAGTTTTGTTCTTTAACACAAATTAATCCTTTTGGAAATATTGTGACTAAAGGCAATAATAAATACACATCCTGAGTCCTAAAATATGTTATTCCAATTTTAGTAGTCCTCTTAAATATTTTCTTTCAAAATACCCATGGTCCCTTCAGTAATCCTCATGCTTTGTGGTTCCTAGGCGCTTTATCATGATTGCTCATTTCTAGAACCTCATGTGCCTTTCAGAATGTGACAGGCTGAACTTCTCAGCATACTCTAGCAAAGCAATGGAATACTGCAAAGGACAGTCAGACCACCTGGTACATTCCTTGTTCTGCACGCTTGATTTCAATTAGTGAAGGACAAGTCTATATTTTGATTTATTTTTCCAGTTGGATTATAGAGAATTTCCTAAAGAATATTGTGATTGTCTTATTTGTAAACAACAAGAAAGAAAACAAAGTTCATGTTGAATATATTTTTTATTTAAATTCATGGCTCTGAGTGAACAAATTAGAAATTTTTCTGTACTGGGTATCCTGATATAGCCACTGAAATGATTCTTATTTTTAGGTAACAAACCTCCCCGGGCAGGTTTTGGAAATAATGACCCAATAAAGTATGAGCTGTGGGGAAAAAGGACCCATAGAAAAGACTCCATTTCTGATGGAGATGATCAAGGGGATGAGTGAGAGAACGAGGAGGAATGAGGACAGGAATGGGTTGTGGGCGGCAGATGCCAATGAAGATACTCCTATTTTCTTCCTAGTCTGATGTACATAATAAAGAGATCTCTCTTCCTTTTGAAAACGTTGGCTGTGTTTAATTTTATTTTCCCATGTGAGTATAGTAGGATTAGGCTAAGTGGCTAATTCCCCTTTATCCTCGATTCCTCTGAATAACTCAGTGTGATCACCCAGAACGATTTTAGCTATATTGAACTTACAGATAATGAAAATTAATAGGTCTTTTTTCCCCACAGGAAATGCTAACAAGGTGGTTTCTTCTTCCTGTATTTGTCAAACTTACTCCTTTTAAAAGTGTAGTTCTTTATATTTAATCAAAATATATTTGTGTATGTATATTGTTTTATCGCATAACTTATCAAAATCTTTTATAACCCAAATTCATTTACTTAAATATTTCCTTCTACAAATTCATCACATCTACAGATATGATATGCCTGTCACTTATGTATTCATTATCCTGATCACTAATAAGATGGTCAGACAAGAGATTACAGCTCCATGGCAAATCACTGCAGAGAAAAAGATGAATCAAGGGTTACATGACATATTAATCAATACGATACGGCCATTTACCTAGCTATTAATATGTACTTCTATCCTATTCATCAATCTACACAGTCTATCTTGACCATAGTGATAAAAAAAGACTTTTCCAAAAGCTATGTGAAATCACAAAAACCCTTGCTATCAAAAAATTTCAGAATTAGAAGCCTAAAAACCATGTACCATAGCCTTCTCACCCTGGAAAAAATATTGATCTACTAACTACTAACCTTATCATGAAAGCAGAAATGCCTTACACTGCAAATATGTTGACTCAAGAGCTCTGTATTACCTTCTAAGGGATCAAAATTTCCTTAAAGGTCCATTCTGGAAATAATGTTAGGATCAGTAGATTACAGTTTCATTAACACATCTCGATGTCCTTGTTGGAAAACTGGATACGTACTTGTCCATGTGCAGATTTTTCTCACCTTTCCTAATTGCTATGATTTCTCAGATATCATGTTTGAAATATCATAATTATATCTGTAAATTCCTTCCAAACACTAGCATATAAATCCCTTGGGCTTAGAGACATAAAATCATTTAATTATGTGCTCCTTTACAGTATTCTTAGACACCGTGGAATCACCCTTAAGACATGTGTTCTACTTCCAATGTGATTTGCTTTGACAGAAAAAGAGAGGCGGCGTTAACGTAACTTTTTCTCCTTGCAGGAATGGGGGTTAGCCTATTCTTTTCTTCTTGTTTTAAATATAACTTTAAAAATTATTTTCATCTTTCTTAGCATTATTCATAATCCTGAGTTCTTCTGCAATTCTGACATTCATAGTTGTGTGCTCCTTTATCTATCTTTTGTAGGTGACTTTTAATCATTTTTCTGTTTATGAAAGATATATTTACTAAAGAAAATTTGAAAACCAGATATCAGAGTGTAAAGAATAAAATAAAAATTCCATCACTTAGAAATAACTATTCATAGTCTAATATACTTCATTTTTATGCAGGTATATTTTTTAAAGTTAGAACCAAATTCATATTTCTATCCTTAAGTTTTACTTTGTAAGATTTTTTCCCATGACATCCAATATTTTTATAGAACAAAATTTTAATTATTTCAAAATACTTTATTACATTTCAATTTATTTACTAGTCTCCTTTTTGGGAAATTTAGGTTCTTCTAATTTTTTTGCTGTTACAAGTAAAATTGTGTTGAATAGTCTTATGCTTCAAATCTCCTTATCAGATGGTTCTTTAACCAGCTCCGATAATTTATTTAGATTATTATTTCTCATGTGATCATTAGCTATAATTTAATCTTAGTTTCCCATTCTTTGCGGGCCATTTTCTCCCATCTTAAAGTCTCCTTGATATTTTTTGAACTTTTAGAAATCTTTGCTAGATTATACTTATTTGGCTAGGTGGGCATATTTACCTTTTCCCAAGCCACCTGTCAATTTCCTAGTAAGTTCTTCCTTCTTAGCCAGACTGAAAATTGAAACTAATAAGTTTTAGAATTAATAAAAATCTTAATTTTCTTTCATGATACTCTTGTTTTCAGGTAAATGTTACTTTTCTTTGGGCTTCTAAAAGAGCAAATTAATAGCACAGTGACATATCTTGCACAGGTTTGGTGACCAAATATGCTTGACCTCAGCAGAAAGCCAACAGGTCAAAGAGAAATCTGGAAGTAGAAAACATGGTTTTGTCAGGTGATGGGAAGAAGGTCTCCAGAAGATGATGGTAGGGAGAGTAGTGTGGTTCTGATCAGCTTATTAGACTTAGGCAGGACATCAGCTGGCAACTGGAAATCTAGAGTTCTGGAACTACTTCTCATAACAGACATTTTTTTAAAAAGGTGTCAAGGTGCCAAGTGGATTAGTGCTTAAGCTAGGAATCTTGTTCTAATTAGGCCTTTAGTGATAAATGGAAATTAAGTGGAAGTCAAGTCATATAAATGAGAAAATGCAGAGTGGGCTAATGAAGACTCAGGGATAATAAAGCAGGTAGATAGATGCCTAGGGCTCCAAACAGTTATACCAACACTGGATTTTGGGCTACTGGTGGGTTTGTATTTAATATACATGATATGCCTCAGTTAAGATTGGCTTAAAGACTATATGAGGCTTAGAATGCAGATTTAAGGCCTTGGTACCTACTGTTGTAAAGGACTAAACTGTAGAAAAGGTACAAATAACCAAAAATCAAAGCATGACTATATTCAATCCTCTAATTTGGCCAAAAGAAGTCTCTATAATAGCAGATGAAAAGATGGTTAAATACCATTACTTTACCCCACCTCTGTTTAAGGGTCCATTGGAAAAGCTTTATTCATATACTTCATCTACATATATGGCCTGCATTATTGCCCAACTTCCTACAGTATTTGTTTCTTTTCCTTTATGCTTACCCTCCCAAATTTTGCTACTCTTTCACCAAATAAATTTGCTGTAGTTATGTTTATGATTTTTAGTGATTATTTACATCTTCTTAAAAGAGAGGCTAATATCGGGCCCATTTTAATGTTTGAACATAGATAACTTTTACATATTTTAGTCACTGATTATACCATTAAATTAGAATATACTTATGAGATTATATCTGCCTTAAAACACAATTTATTATGTCTATTAGTTTTATTCTGTCTTTGTATATTAATTTGAGGATGTATTTTTCACAGTCCCCATTATCCTGCTGCTTTTCTACAGAGAATTATTTGGTATTTTACCTTGTTAATTTTTTTGTTAGTATAGGAATTGTTTTTCATGGTATTCAGTCTTACACTTTTATTGAGATATTTTTTGTCTTCCTCTGATTTTAATCTAAAATCTTCTTGATCAGATCAGCAACTCTTCTAACAGATATTTTTTTCTAGTTCTTGTGAGATGTACTTCATCTCTTGCCAGAAGCTACATCAAATACTTGGTAATCTTTATAGAATTTCTTGGCTTGGAATTATATAAACATATTGATGAAATTCATGTAGCTTCTGCTAAGAGCTTTAGCTTGAGGGGAAAAAAAAGCCTAAGGCTTTAAGGTATTTTTGGTTTTTTTTTGTTTGTTCCCCTAATAGGACAATACACTGACGAATACAATCATTTCCTTCTTTTGATATTTATTTCCTTATTTATTGTTCTTGCTTGGGTTTCTTTCCACTTATCTCTCACATCTTTCTTATTATTGAAAGAATTAACAGAATAAAGATAGTTTTAAAGTTATTGAGAACTTAAATATTTTAAAAAGTCTACACTGTGAATTATTCTTGGTATTTTTATTTCTTGAACATATTTCAGAGAAAAAAATTCTGAGACATTTGAATCTATGGAAAATTTTAAAATACATGCAATGCTTCTTTTAGCAAGAAGAATTTTGCAAAAGATTTCCTCATTTTTATTTTGGATTTAAGTCTTTGCCTAGAAAATGGGGAAGACAAACTTGACTAGAGATAAATCAGATCAATATTCTACTTGCAGTATAATTCTTTAGAATAATGGTTTCAGAGCATTGCTTTCAATAGTTCACCTTCATTCCTAACCCTATTTGCAAGCTCTCCAAGAACATGTTAAGTCCAGATCTGGCTATAGAACTGGGAGCTTTATTCTCTGTGTTAGTGTTACTTTTTAAAGACAACTGGTAGGTTCTTGGCTCTCACTGTACTTGGATTTTGTTTGCTGGTTCTCAGGCTAGGATTACTTGTGTTTTAATTTCTGGCTGTCTTGAGGCTTCCAACTAAAACAGACACAGAATACTTTGGAAGCAGGGATATGGTGTTTTCCTTAAAGACTTATAACTTAAGCATAGCTTATCACTTCTGACCTCCTATGGGGGATGTCCTGGGTCTATAAATCCTACTTGAAAATGGTGGTATCATTCCAGAAAGAACTAAAGTGTATCTAGCAACTGTCAGACCACCTTGATCACAGTACTGGTTCTCCAAGAAGCCCTAAACATGAAATATGTCATGAAAATGTAGATATGAAGTTTGATTTGGGGTACTATTATAACAACTAGTGCTATACTAATTTATATAAGGATACAAAATGAATAATATGTTGCCCTCAGTGAGCTTACAGCCAGTTTGTATAAAGAGAATATGTGCAAGTTATTGTAATAGAAAAGTTATTTTACAGATATATTAGGAAGCAAGGAAGAGATGAGTCCTTGGCCTAGGGCTAGGAGTCATATTTCTGAGAAATCTTGCAAAGCAAAGGTGATAAATGCATTGGGACTTAATAGATGAATATAATTTAGTCACTCACAGAGGGCAAGAAATTCTATGCAGAAAGTATAGGTCTGAGAAAAATCTTGGGGTCAAGAAACAGTAGTATATAGTGAATAACA
Source organism: Homo sapiens (assembly GCF_000001405.40). NCBI lineage: Eukaryota > Metazoa > Chordata > Mammalia > Primates > Hominidae > Homo > Homo sapiens. The sequence continues at coordinate 86,674,784 of NC_000007.14, read as the reverse complement.
AGCAGTTCAGTGTTTCAGTGTTTTAGAAAATCATATATGAGTAAGGAGTAATGGGGACTTAAAGTTGTAAACATACTCAGGGATCAGATTACTGAGTCTTGTAAGCTATGTAAAGAAACTGTGACTGTAGCTGTGCATAATGGGAGATATCTTTTAGGTGTTCATTAAGTGATATGACATTAATAGATTTATAGCTTTAACAGATTTTTCTGAAAGTTGTAAAGGATAGTGGCTGTGGTGATTTTAATCTATTTGCAAGTTCTTTGATGCTCCTTCTCTTAGAAGGTAGAGCCTAATTTCCCTCCCCTTGAATGTGGGCTGAACCTAATGACTCGCTTCTAACAAAGAGAATAAAATGAAGTGATGGTGTATAACTTCAGAAACTAGATCACAGAAGTCATGTGGCTTCTTCTTTGTTCTCTTTCTCTTGGATCTCTGGCCCTGAGAGAGACAGCTGCCATGTAAGAACACTCAGAAAGACTTGTAGACAAGCCCATGTGGAAGGAATGGAGGACTTCTAACAATAGTCATATGAGGAAAACATCTTGGGGGTGAATCTTTTGGTCCTGGTCAAGCCTCCAGATGACATTAGAGAAAGCCAACAGCTGAACTGCAATCTTTGGAGAGACCTGAGCCAGTACCACACAGCTAAGCTACGCCTGGATTCCTGATCATTAGAAACCATGAGGAAGAATAATAAATGCTTGTTTTAAATGGCTACATTTTGGTGCAATGTGTTAGACAACAGTAGATAATCAATATACTGGTTTTAGATGGGAACAGGACTTTAGTGCAGGCAGATAAGTTAGGAGCCTGCTATAGTTGGTGAGGTTAGAAGTCGTGAAGTTCTAGTTTAGGGCAGGTAAAGGTGGGTAGGAGGCAAAATATATAAAAAGTGTAGGAGTCAAAAATTTCTTGAACTTAGAGAATGATTAAGTATGGTTATAGAAGAAGGAGTCAATGTTGATTCCCATGTTTCTGGCTTGGGCAACCAGGGTAAGAGTGTTGCTGACATACAAAGGAGGAGCGTATTAGAGAGAGAATGGATTCAGTTTGGGAGATCCAGTTTGAATTGTCTGAGATGTCCAGGTGAAATGTCTTGAATAGATGTACCAATGAGGAGATAGGGATTAAGGAATCATCAGCATAGAGGAGGTAGTTGAAATAATAAACATATATGTCATTTAGGGAAAGAATATAGAGTGAGAAAAGCAGTTGTCTGAGGAAGCAATCTGGAAGCAGTTGGCATAAACAGGATATTGCAGGAAGATATGAAGGAAACCAGAAGAGGTAGTGAGAGAAACTTGAAAATGTAGACAGAAGGCTTGGTTTTAGGCATTAGATAGGAAACTGCATTCTCTGACACCGGTAAGAAGGAGGAAAGAATGGGTGTTCTGGTGAGTTTTGAAGTGGATAGATAATTGGATAATTGAGAGGAATCATTCTCGATAGTTACTAGTTTTCCAGATGAAGTAACAGGAGGAAAGATGTCTTGCTACACTTACTTCCCCCACAAATAAGGATGATGCCAGTTGAGTAGAGAGGAAAGTCTTTAGCTGTAAGGGGAGAATGAGGAACAAAGTAAGCAAGGACAATTAGGGAATGGATAGGTTGTGCTGAGTGCTCAGTCATGCCTTTGATGTAAGTGATACCAATATGGAAATATGATAATATATATACCTGGGGAATCTTTCTGTTCCAGATCACCTGGAGCCCTAAACCTGATAACAATCCCATAGATAACAGCTTATCTATGTAAGACATACTGAAAGATTTTAAAGTTTGTTTTGCAACCTTAGTTCATTACCTTTTTTGGGTATAGAGAGGAGTCAATATTGATCTAAAAGATACTGAATAAGAGGTACTCTTTCAGAGAGTATTGGTTTTCTATATGTTCACCACTTTCCACACACTCATAGAGAGGGGAGGGGATGCTTTTGTGCATTTTTAGCAAAGTCAGAGAAAAGCATTTGTGAAAACTACATGGAAAGCTTGACATGAGTCTTCTAAAGTTTAGGGGACATGGTTAAAAGCTAAGGTTCTGGCTGGAGCTGGCAGAACAAGACAATGTGATGCTTTGAGAGCTAGTTGCATCTACCACTGGGGGTAAAGGTGTGTTTCACACACACCGGATGTGTTCCCCCACAAGGGAGCCAGCCATGGTCTCCTGAAAAAAAAAACAAAAACAAAAACAAAAAAACCCTGCCCCAGGCAACCACTTGAGATGAGGTCGTATCTGGAGGAAAGGCACTGCTAAATCTAGAAAACTATAGATGCCCTTATTGCAAAGAGAGGGGAAGCTAGGCAAGAAGACAATATAAACGTGCCCCATAAGTCACCTTTGGATATATATTATGCACAGAAGGAACTGAGGGAATGTCACAACTGTGCCTGACAAGATAGACTTTTATTGCCCATTTATCTCTTTTCTCAATATTCCCTACCTTATCCCAATTGTGGAGGGGCCAAGGCAGTATCTGTGGAATAGAGGATAAGGCAAAGTAGGAAAAGATAAGATGCTAGTTTTAATCCCTTCTCCACTACAGGCTTCCTAAGAGTCAACAATCCTGAGCTGGAAAAAAACAAAAACAAAAAAACTTTACATTTGCCTAACTGATTTCCCACTACACTAGACTGGATACTCTTTAGAATGGAGTAGACTTTTTATCACCTAAGATTGATTTAATTTATGTGACCTGGCTGAGTTTTTATCCAGGAGTGGAAAAAAATAAAACAGTGGAAGAAACAATAAAAATAAAACCCCCAGAGAAGTGGCAGCAACAGGAAAATTATAGTTTCTTCTTGAGTCGAACCTGTTTAATAAAGAATAATGTGGGCTTTTTTATGGCTGGTTGGTTTCCAGTAGTGCTACACTGACTGGATGTCCAATGGACCTTTTTAATTTCAAGGTCAGTAAATGGATAAGGAGACTGGGGAATTAAGGGTCCCAGTAGAAGTATGGTTCAGATAATTCAGGATAAAATTTAGATTGAGTAAAGAATCAAATGAAGTGAGGTCAAAGCAGGACTAATTATCTGAGAGAATTGAATCAAGGGTTGGAATGCCCAGGTAGTTGATGAGCAGTTGACATGAGAAGCAGAAAGTGAGATAATCAAAAGCACTGGAGGTTGTGGTCAGACCTCTAGATTAAAGCAATTTCCAATGTTGACACATCCTAAGTTTTCTCAAATAACTTGAAATAATTCATTTCAGTAGATATTAATAGATAGGTGGTGAGTAAGATGGAGCCTACTCATGAGTAGCTTGTTGGGAATACATATGCATTTTACTGGAAACAAAATATGGGCACAGAATTTGGTAAATAAAATCATTGAGAGACATTCAACATTGTGCTTTTACTATGTGCTAGATGTGCTAACTTCAGGACATAAAGAATGAAACAGAACAGTTATTTACCCTTGAATATTAAAAATCTGACAGGACAAACATCTAAACCATATTAGAGTCATACATGGAGATTACATAATTACCATACACTGAAGTAAGTAGGTGCTATTAAAATGGTTGCAGAAATATATGGAAGGGCACATCTATGAAACTGGGGAAAACAAAAAACTTATCTTGGATTAGGTGGGCATGGAGGAAGGCACCTGTAGTGCCAGTTGCTCAGGAGGCTGAGGCAAGAGAGTCACTTGAACCTGGGAGGCAGAGGTTGCAGTGAGCGGAGATCGTGCCGTTGCACTCCAGCCTGGGAGACAGAATGAGACTGTCTCCAAAACAAAAATGTGTTTCATATTTCAGTTAGTAGTTCAAACATATTTCATGAAAGCTACATTTGAGATAAACCTTCAAGGACAAGTAGGATTTTTGAAGGAATTGATGGGAGAGAGTATACCTTGTCTTGGACGTAATATAAACAACATCTAAAGGTCAAGAAAACACAGTATATCTTCTGAGAATAGAGAGTTGTCCAGCTTTCAGTTTAGAGAATGTGTAAGGAAATTAGAAGATGAGCATGAAAATGTAAATTAGAGCCACCCAGTGAAGGAACTTAAAAGCCTGAATAATAAATTGGCAACTATGAAGGTTTTAAGCAGGGGAAAAACAAAATTAGAGTGGAAGCCTAGGAAGATTGATCTGATTGATATGTACAAGACGATTAAGATGAAAAACACAAAAGGAAATCAGTCAGACTCTAGTAATACAACAGTCAAGAAGAAATCAAGTTCTAAAGCAAGATGGTGAATATGAGGATTGAAAAGAGGAGTGGATTCAAAATGCCATTTGGAAATGGAACCAATTGGATTTGTGGACTCAAGATATGCAGGCAGAAATTCTTTTGGCTTTCCAAGGTCATGTTCCTGGATGTATAAGAAAATGAGAGTCCCATTAAAAGACACGAGAAATTGACAGGCATTTGGAAATGTGAACTTGGAATTTGGGAACATGATTAGAGGTAGAGCACTAGCAGTTACCTGCTTAGATGTTGATAGATGGAGCCACATGAGTAGGAAAGATTCCTGACTGAGTTTATCTTGAGTTCTTTACCCTATTTGAGTTATGAACTCTTTTGTGAATATGATGAGAGCTATGTATTTCCTTGCCAGAAAAATGTGCAAACACACAGGCACAAATTTTTGTAGGCCTTAGTTTAAAATATCTTGGTATCAAAAGAAAAGAGAGCTGACAAAAGAACATTGTAAAATACTTACATTAAGGAAACAGAATTAGGAAAAGATGACACAGTGATAGAAAACAAACCAGGGTAATGAGGGTGCTTTAGAAGATGCTTTGAAATATTTAGAGCTACAGAGTGTTTCAAGTGTCTGAGAACTGAGGAGAAGTTGTTGGATTTGGTGATCACTAGATTTGGAATGTGTTGCTGATCTAGGACTAGGAAAATATTCAGTAGTGTGGTGGGGACAGAAATGAAACTACAGAGTGAGTTAAGGAGTAAATAGATTGTGAGACTAAGTTGAGATACTTCATTGAGAGACTAAGTGTATTCTGTTCTTAAGCTTAATCATAAAGGTAAGAAGAGAGCAGGGATTTGAAGGAATATGCAGTTTGAGGAAGATTTTTTTATATAATTAAAATATTGGGCATGTTTTTAGACAGAAGAGAAGGACTTGGAATGGAACAAAATATATAAGAGAAAATACTTGTTGTGAAATGTCAGTTATTGTTTCCACATTCAACGTTACTACCAACTATGGTTGCACTTTTGGAAAACAAAATAATACTTCTACAATGAAGACAGGAACTCACAGCTAAGTCTTAAAAGGATCTACTTGTGAGATATAGGAAAACATTGAAAAACAGTACTGTGTGAAGAGTAGAAAAATGTGAAGATTTTCCAGTCTTAAATCTGGCTGAAATCTTGTCACAGAAAAAGAGACATGATTATGGACATGTCTGAGCAGAGGCGCTCTTGATAGCAGAAGCTAACTATTGTTGTTTCAGAGTTTTTAACACCTGTTCTTTCCCTAGTTCTTAGTGTAGTGTTTCTCAATTGGCTGTCCCCTGGAATCATGTGAGAAGATTTGAAAAATACTGATGACTGGGCCCCAGCCCTAGTGATTCTGATTTAATTGGAGTGGGGTGAGGTGTGGGCATGGAAAGTTTTTAAAGGTGATGTTATGTGCAGCCAATGTAGAGAACCACTGTTTCAGCACATTCACTTTGGGCTTCGATTTGATTACATATTCCATCTAGTTATTTTCTGTAGGTTGCTTGAGGAAGACATGGTCACCAGCTAAAGTCTTGAGTCTTAGATGACTCCATGGAGAAATACTTACTATCTTGGGATAGTAAGACAGGAACTTTCCATTTATTTATCCTTTTAACCAGCTTAATCCAGGCTTTTCACCCACAGTTATGAGAAAGCAAACCCTAGCAGGAGCTTATTCTCTGGACATTTGTAAATTTCACGCTCAAGGGAAATCTAAGGATAAAGCAAGGTTCCCAGAAGATATACTTCCTCCCATTTCTAAAATCACCACCTGATGATCAACCAAACTGCAGGGAAAACGACAATAGTTTGCTTTTGGTTGGGTAGACAGTCTATGCATGGCAGGTGGGAATGAGCCTCTTCCTCAATGACAGTTAATCTTCCAGGGTAGGAGCAGTCAGCCACAATTCTATTTTCGGAATATATTTGCAGGGTAAGTCTATATTAGGCAGTAATTCACTTTCCTCTTCTCCTCCTTCCCTCCAAGTTTCTCTGCCCTCTAAAGACGGGGTCATTAGAAAGTGTGAGAATTGCCCAAGGATTATATGAAGTTGTGGTAGCTGAAGAGAATGCCTCATTAGCATGTGAGAGAAAAGCCCAAACAACACGATCAAAGGGTGTTAAATCAGTCCAATGGGGTGGATAGAGGGGGTGGTTAGAATTAATTTAAATCACTTTAAAGCCAATGTGAATGAAAGAAGAATTATTTCCCTAGTAGCTATTTAGCCTGCAAGTGAGTGAATGTATGTACATTTTCATGTGAATATAGACTTGATTACCTAAATTTGTTCATAATGATGGCCTAAATAACAAAAAAAAAAAATTTTGACATTTCACCTGTTCCTTGGAAACCAGAAGAATCCTAAGGAAGCACGGCAGGCTAAGGAGAATATCTGAAACAGTATATTATAACATGCTACTCTTACTAGCATAGCAACAATTGAAATAATGAAGATACACAAAACAGAGCAACAAGATTAGGCACACCTGAGTTAAGAATCTAATGAAATCACTTTTAATTCATATCCATAAACTGGACAAAAGTTTCCCACCAAACGGGGTCAGACTTGCAGGAGACTGGGGTGGAAGTGGGTAGGAAGGAGAGCAGGAGAGAGCTTTGATTAGCTACCCAAAATCTCCCTTTAAGTCAACAGTTTGGCTCCCTCCGGTGTCTGCTTAAAGAGCCTTCTGTTCATTGAGTGGGTGAAAGTGACTAGAAGGTTTGGTAGGTAATTGTATTGGCTTGCAACCCAAAAGACATGCTAGTTGGTATTACAGGATTTTGTGCCTTTGTGCACCAGCCAGCATTTCTCAAGAGTACACCGTTAGAAGGGCCGAAATGTTTCTTCAAAATTTCCTGGAGGGTGGGCCTGGGCAGAGGTGACTAATATAAAAGATTGGGGCCAATGCACAAGAATGATTGTTAGCCCTATTATGCTCTATTGCTAGAGCATACTCAGTTTTACCTTTGCTGTCCATCCCCACTCCAGGGAATATCTTGAGAGCAAAATAATGCAGTGTGAACCCCCATTCTTCCCAAGAGTAGCTGGAATATGATGCTGTGACTATGTTGAAAACTTAGTCACATAGAGAGATAATATGAGTAAAAGCTTTGCTTAGTGTTTATTGTAATAGCCTACCTCTACTTGATAAAATCAGAAAAATGCAGAACTAAAAAACAATCCTAAAGGATAAATTGAGATTCTTACTGTGATATACACTGGTATTTCTTAACTAAAAGCAAAGCAATCAATACATAATATTATATATCTTAAGCCACAGGTATTTCCCTTCTCTCTGCTTTAGGGACCTGGTTGAATCATCCACTATTCTATGCCCTTAATTCTGCAACAATCTGGGCCAGTCAGGCAACTCTACTATTTAGGTCAGATGTGCAAGTACTGCATTGTTAGTTACCTGGTATATGTAGAACATCAGTCATTTTACAAAATAATTTTCAGGGATTTTGATATTTGCAATAGAGAAGATCCACAAGTCTTTGATTTGATAAGTTGCTTCCTGCTGCCTCCTTCCTGTCAGAGGTACTGAGCTTGAAAATGAGATCAAACTTCCAGAAAGAAATATGCTTTATATAAATGTTCCCACTCATATTATTTCATAGTCGCCTATGACAACCTTAGCGTCAAAGATTTATTCTGGGTAGTTAAGTTATACAACAAAATATCTGATGTAAATTTTGGCAAGAAATTCACTAACTGGATAACTTGCCAGGAACAGGTATCCATATGGGATAAACAGAAGTCATGAGAACAGGTAAGAACCTGCTCACCAGGGGTTGCATCTCGAATTAGTTTCCTAATTTGTCCAAACAAAATATCATTAAGCTCATCAGTGCCTCAATCTATCTTTTTAGTAAGATGTGCTTCATAAACAAGTCAATTTTCTCATTAAAAAAATAGCTAGTTTGGATCCTAGAATTCATTAGAAAAAAAAGCGTTCTGAAACTTGAAGAGCTATTTGGAGAATCTGAATAATGAAAACAAATAAACAATAACAAAAAACATCTGGCTTTAAAAGATCAAGTTCTGTTTCATGTAACTTCCAGAGAGGGATAGCTACTTTTAAATATAAAAATCCCTTACATAACATCACTTAGCTTTTAGTTGATAAAATACCATAAACATATTCATGATTCCACATATTAGTTCTAAAAGACTATGTTACCTTTAAGGTTAAGTATGTTAATCCTGAAAAAGGTGATGGTTTGTAGATGAAGTCAAGTTTTTGGCTGTTGAAAAGGCAACATGGCTTCTTGAAGTATCATTCCATTTGCTTCTGTAAGTAAGCTATTTTCCGAAGTTAATATTGAGAAAAGGGAAGCTAATCAGGTCATTTTCTGTAGTGAGATACAACATTGTTTCCCTCTATAAAATGGGTTATTCCAAAAATTTTATCCTAGGTTCTTCTGCTTATTAAGTGAAGCTTAAAACCTCTAAAGGATTATTTGACTTTCAATAACTCATGCTTTTGTTAAAATACATTTCAACTTGCTCCTGTAATTAAGATTAACATCTTATTTCTAACTTCATGACTCTCAGAAAGTTATGATTACAATATAATTTAGATAAAAATGATTAGAGGGTAAGAATATTCACAAAATGTGAATGACAGAAAATGTGTCTAACAGCCCACATTATTGTGTAGTCCTAAAACTTGTTCTTCCTAAGATTTTGCCTAATGTAAGTAAACGTCTGACACTCTGAGTTAACATTTAAAAATATGCTTTAGTTTCATAATCACTGCAGTGCAGAAGTTATTAAAGCTACAACAGTTCAGCATAAAAGAAGCCAGGAAATTTTCTGCATTATTTGGCTTCCTTATAACGCATGATAATTTATATAAAATTCTCATTTTCTTACTTTTAGATCACACATAGAATCTTCATAAACAGAAGAAGTATAACATATGGTTTATAGAGAAGACTATAATATGCATGGCAGGATCTAGAAGGAAAATTCCATAAAAATAAGTAGAAAGCATTTGATTAATGGATGTATTTTAATTAACATGCAGACGGGATTATGAAAGAGTTGAATTAGTGTGATTGATAGTAAGATATTGTTACTACTAGGGCAAAGAAAAAGAAATTTATGCCAGTGGATGTTACTCTAGGTGCACATTTGGTTTAGCATTGGTAGAAATCAGTTTATATTTAATAAGCACCTATCAAGTGCCAGAGCCTAGTCGGTACTTCTATAGTTCATATTACAAATATATTTTTATACTTATATTTTCATGTGAGCAACATTGTGAGGTAGATAGTATATTGAAGTCTGGAGAAATTTAATATGACTTTCAGGATAGGATAGCTTATAAGTGATAGAATTGAGATTCATAACACGTTCTCCCAGAGCACATGCGATGTTCATTTACTTTACCTCATTTTCTTTCTCAAATATATTCAATTTGGTAACAGTGGAATAAAACGGAACGAAAAGAATAGATTTCTTCATGTAGCAGGTAATAGTTTGACTAATAGAAACTGTATCTCTCTAAGCAGACTTTCACAGCTACTACAATCAATAATGATAGCTAGAATAAAATTATTGTATTGCAAGACTAAAATTTATCTTAGCTATCCTTCTCAGAATTGAGAAAAAGAAATAAGAAAGCTCATGTTTATAATATCTTAAAAGCAATCTCCTCTCTGGTATTTGAATAATGCTGGCCAGAACTTCCCAAGTTTAAGGCTGTCACTACCCCTTAGGCCTGGGAGGTTTAATTAAGAGTGAAATTAATGGTATGTGTGACTTTGGGTTTACTAGCACACATGTGTCAAGAGGAGGTGGGTATGCAGTTGAATCTTGCAGTTGTGTTGGTGAATCACCCTCTATGAGCTTCTCAGCCAAACGTAACCATCATCTGCTTGCACCAGCCTTGTGCAAGCTGTACTGGGTAGAGAAAATTCTGTCATCTCTTTTGGATGAGCCTAGTGTAGCTTCTGAATGGATTCTTTGTTACAAAATCCCTAGGATACAATAGAAATTCATCAACACTGGCTTGTTTTTCTTAGTGTGTCAAAAACAATTGAGATAAACAATGTCTAGAATCTGATCTTTACTTCTAACACATAAATAATTTTGAGCTTCCCCTAAAAGGAAGGATATATTGACATAATAGTAGGCACTCAAAATAAATGCTTATTATTGAGTGCTCAACTGATTCATTATATATGTCCTGAACAACTGTAAACACATCAAGATGGTATCTAATATTCCTAACCGATATACCACCAAGTCATTGCAATTTTTAACTACTAAAATTTTTCTTTATTCACCTGTTATTTCAATGTCTACCATCTTTGTCTAAGCTACCATCTTCTGTAGACAATAAAAAAAATCCCATAACTGGTCTACCTGTTCCATTCTGACCCCTCAACCCCCATCATTCTCCACATTCCAGTGAGGGTCTTTTTTAAAAAAAAGAAAAATTATGGATGCTCTTATTTCTACTTTAAGTACTAAAATGATTTTCTGTTGTTCTTGGATAAGAACAACCCTCAACATAATATAGTGCTGCTCTCTGTTCTCAAGGTTCCAAGCCACATTGACCTTTCAGTTGCTCATAGGTGCCATTATCTCTCCTTTCACAGTATCTGTGCTCATGTCACTGAATACAGCTTGATTTCTTTCTCTTCACTTAGTTAACTCTACTCATCCTTTAGTTGTCATTTTTCCCATGAAAACCTGATGTCACTGATATCAAACTCCTTATTTTATGTTCTCACAACATTATCTCTTAATTTTAGTATGTATAAGTTCAATTTAATATTTCTTTGAGACATATGATTATTCTGTCTCCCTCACAAGATGATGAGCTCCACATGGGCAGGGGCTTAAATGGCTTACCATTGCTCTGAGCCTAAAATCTTACAAACTTCTTAACGATGTATCTAAAGCCTTCTGATCTGCCCCCAAGACTACTTCTTCAATCTCATCTCCAACAACAACAAAAAAAAGACATAATTCAGTTGAATTTAATAAATATTTATAAATTCTCTTTTGACCCAAGTTTTCCTGCAGAATCCATTGGCTTGCCACAATTAGTGCAAAACTACACAAATTAGTACTCACTATTTCTACTTAGAATCCCGTTTTCTCAGTTACCTCCAAACAGCTTGTCTCCTTACTCCATAGCAACTTCCAATGGCTTACAAGATGCTAAACACATTGATCACCTCAGATTTTGGAATCAAGATTCTAAATGCCTGATATCATCAATTTTCTTATCTAACTTGCCCTCCAGCAGCATCAGTAGAGTTCACCACTGCCTTGTTCTGGGAAAACCTTCTTCCCTTTATTTGCATGATACCACTTTCTCTTGGCCTACCCCTTACCTCATTGGCCACTGCTGTTTCTTTGGACTGTAACTTCTAGGTGTAACTATAAGTAGAAGTACCCTAGGGCTCAGCTTGAGATTCTCTATTCTCATGTATACCCTGAGAGATCTAGTAAAATGGTCTCTGTTACTAGATAATAGTTTATAAATAATTTTGAATTTCTAGTAAAAGGTCATTAAGGATTTGCAAAAAAAGTTTCATATTCATCAATTGTATTAAGATATATTTCTTTATACTGGCCTCAAATTTGGGGCAGTTTTTTTAAATTTAATGTGCTGCTTTAACTCATTAGAGAAAAGACTACAAGAGAAATAAGAAGCTATAGCAAAAAAAAATCTAAATGGAGAAGTTCATTTTAAAAATTCATACTACATTTGGTGGCTCTCATCAGTATTTGGGGTTAGGTATGCTGATGCTAAAGAATAAAGACATGGATACACAAAAGTTCAAACATGTTTGGACAAATTACTAAAGAAGGTTGTGTTTCATATGAAATTCATAGCTTCAGAAATTGATTTCTAAAAGTTAAGTATTAAGGAGATATATTACAGGCAATATCATGAAAATATTTGGTTACATGAGAAAAATGTTTGAGCCGATGACTGACATTATAAGACTCTTATAAATATACAGACCTTAGATATACATAAAACCAAATATTAAAATAATTTATTATCAGTAAAATCTATTAATTTCCTCTTGGTGATACAAAGGCAAACACTATAGAAGTATATTAAAATTTTATCACTGAAATATGGTAATATGCCCTGCTCATTATAATCTAATAAATATTTATTGAGGGTTCATTGTGTCCAAGGTCTTTATTCCTTCATTCCTTCTTCCATTATTTTACTTACTTATTCAACAGTCATTATTTTTAAGGCACTGTTATAGATTTCAGTGATAAAGAAATGACCAGGACATGGCTTTTCTTGCAGTAAATGTACAGAGGTTAATAAGATACCATTCTTATTTTCAAGCAGGGATAATGAAAATACTGAAAGATAATTTGTGGTTCTGTTAATGAGGTGTTTTCAAAGCATGTGATTTTGAACTTAAAAAAATACATGAAATAGAGTTTTTCTTTCCATTTGTAGCAAAAAAAGAAGCATTTAATAGTAAATTTGGTTAAGACATTTGCAATTATTTTTGGAATACATAGTTAATAAGATAGGCAGTTTGTGTGCTTGCAACTAATATTTTTTTAACCCTGATACCATTCATTTTAAGATTCACCATAAATATGAGTAGGTTTTTGGGAAAAAATATTATTATATAAGATGTGCAAATAAATTGAATTATATCTCAATTACAGAAGCATTAAACTGTGAAAGTAAAGTGCCTATTATGCTTTATGGAGGAATTATAATAAATAGTAAATCAATTTACTAGCTAATGTTGGTTTCTAGCCTTGTTTGACTTATTGATTGGTTTCATGTTTTTTGATAAGTCATTTAAAAAACACATCTTGCAATTAACTTCAGAACAACATTGGCAGGAAAAAATGTTTTTTATTCTGTAAAAATTGAATTGGTCCCATCTACATTTTCCAGTGTCATTTGATTCAGAGTAATTTTTTCTTCTAAAAATTATCCAAGAATGCTTTGCTTCTTTAATTATATATTTTTCTAACCTTAGGAAAAGAACACTGAAGTTGTGATTCTTGAAGTCTACATTCCATTGAGTACTTTGTAAATTTTTAAAAATCCCAAGCACAGGATCATTAATAAGTTAAACACTATACCTCGCTTATTTTCTGTGACTTCTGTACAACAGAACTATTAGCTACAGATTGACAGATCCCCAGCACCTACCGCAGGGCCCAACATAACAAAAAGTGCTTAGTAAAAGTTTCTGGGAAGGATCGATGGATGTACCAAAGTACACTAAGTTAAAGTAAATGAAGACATTTTTACATGTGTGAAGATATTAAGTAGCCTACTCCCAGTGCATTCCCTAAATAATCATGATTGTGTCATACATTGCATCATATTTTTCTTTCAAAAAGCATTAAGCAAATCTAGTTACTAAGAGAATAGAAAGAGTACTTTGTTCGGGGTGATTCTTAGGCCTCTGTCCATGGTCTCAGGGAAGCCAAGGAAGCCCATTCTCCTATAGACTTTATTGACTGATTTTTGCCTGAAACATTAGATAAGAGACCATGATGCTGTTTATACTCCATTTTCTAATCTTCAAATGTAGTTTTAAAATTGTAAAGAAAGATCTTTGAGGACAGGAATTATTTTTCATTTGTTGTTGGCTTTCTGCTTGCCATTCTATACTCAGTGTCTAGCTAATACCAAATTTAATATGTGTGCTCAATTAACACCTGTTGGATGAATGAATCAAAAATGGCATGGCTAAATAAAGGAAGCTATTGGAATTAAGATCAAGAAGTCAACATTAACTAGCTAACTGAAATAGTATATATGTGTATGGGGATATCCAATTTGAGTATGCTTTAATTTTTACTATCAAAATTAATACTTAGCATCATGATTAATCTTCAAATGCTTAAACCTCCTCTTTGCTAGAACTGCATAGCCTAGTTGATATTCAAAATAGATATAATTTTTACTAAGTGCTTTTTATCAACTAATGAATCCATGTAACCCACAAGCCTTATACATCTTCATGGATGAGCAAGTTTGGATATTGCAGTCAGAATTCTGATGTCACCAGGGATCTTTCTTTAGGATTATTTAAAACCAAATTATCAAAATAAAGATTATCAAGCATTCTGTTTTTTGTTTTCCTTTTGCTGGTGGATTATTTTGCTAACCTTTTCCTCTTTGTTTGTTTTGGGAATTAGAGTTTTCCAATGAGCCCATGTGGTGTTAAGAACTATCTCTAGATATTGAGTTTACATTACAAACAAGCAAAAATTCCCAGTCTATTAGAGCTCTTCTCCTAGGATACAAGGAAAGGCAAAGTTCAGCTAAACTGCACAATTAATTCGCAATCATTTCTGAATAGAGAGAAAAGGTTGCTTTAAGCTGTTCTGTTCTCCTCCTAGGGATTTAAGGTCAGTTTCAAGAAGCAAAATTACTATTCTTTCAAAGTTGTCTCTTCTGATTTGTATTCCTGTAATTATCTCCTCAGGACCTCTTTCTTTCTAACTTGTAAACATAGCTTAATAAATCAATTCAAGGATTAGCTACACGCAAATATACTATTCTGATAGCTAGATGGACAGGTAAAAGAATAAAGTAGGACAGTTTTCTTTCCTGACCAATGATTTTCACCAACGTGTCAATCATTTTTGTTTTACACAAAGGAATCTGAGACTTTTTGTTTCTGGGAAAAGTGATTTTTTGTTGTTTTTTTGCTTCAAATTCACCCTCTTCTCTTTTAATGTGAAGATTAAAATATCTTCAAGCACTGGACAAATTCTGGAGATCAAAAGAACAAATAGTTTGTAAAGAAATAAAGCTTTAAAATGTAATTATTATCATGACAGCTGACTTTCCAGCTATTGAAATGAGAGGATTTTATGTTAAAATAAGAAGCATAAGTAATTAGATACACTCTGCTCAAAAACCTATACAATATTTGACTATACTACTAACTTCCATTTCTAAAAAAGAGCTCAATGTCACTTTATTAACATGTTTCTCATTTTCAAATCAAGGAATATGAGACAGTTATTCCAACTGTTTTTTGCATAGTTTACATTTCAGTTTTGGGATGCTTTCCTGAGAGAAGCAATATATTCAACTGGTCAAATTCGTAAGCTCTGGAGCCAAATGCCAGATCTAAATCCTAGCTATCCTCTTACTATGTTACCTTGTGTTAGTACTTCACTTTCCTCTTCCATAAAATAGGGATCATAATAGCATAATCCTCATAGGGCTACCATGAAGATTAAATGAGTTAACATAGATAAAGCAAAAGGAACGGTGCCTGGCATATGTAAACATTCAATAAAAATTATTGTTATTCACAATATCTTCTCATTCTTCTAAAAATGGTGTAGAGGATGTGTGTTAACCGCATTCATTTTGAGAAATATTGCCACAAACTGCATTTAATGGAATACCTTGGGGTGTTATTTATTGGCACTAGTAGGAATTAGTATTAACAAATGGGATTCAAGAATCGTCTTCTATGAAAATGTCTGAAATGTGCTTTTATCAGAATTCAGAAAGGACAAAATCTGCCTCAATGTTGACTTTCTTGGGGCATTTACTCAACTCCGTTTTTATGGTTATGTTTATTTCCTGTTACTCATACCACATGGCTTAAGATGAACAGATAAAATGTTTTCAAAATGCGGACAGGTTGAGGAATAACAAAACACATTTCTAACATTATTAATAACCTTGCTATTAAACAGCAATTTAAATGTATAAATAAGACCTAATTACTTTTTTTTTTTTTTAGTATAACAGGGTACTGACTCTGACTTGGGATGCTGAATTTTATCTTTAAGTTTACTTATAAAAATATATGGCTAAAAGGAATATAAAACACAATACCCCAGTTTTAAAGATGAGGAAAATTTGCTCCAGAGTGAGTTAATTAACCCCTGTTCAATTTACCCCATAAAAAGCTATTGATTTTCTGTATGCAGTACTTACTTTGCTGGGTAATATACACCTGTAAGTGAGCAGGCATGACTTCTGTCTTTTTAGCCCCCTTATAGACTACAGTGGGGAGAGAGACAATTATAATAAAGTGTGATGAAGGAAAATACAGAGAGTTTGGGGAGTACATAGCAAGAAGAACCAACCTACTATAGAAGGTCAGAAGTAGTATAGAATTTAAACTGAGCCCTGAAGGGGTTGGAGTGGACCAGTGCACTAGGAAGTTTCACAGCCTGTGGGAAGGCCTGGGGAGTGAGAGGGAAGGATGGAACAACAAGTGTAAGGGCAAAGGGATGAGACATGAATCTCGACACACATGCAGATCACTGTGGGCCAGGTAAACCATGTCTCAATTATAGCAAGAGCAAAGAAAAAATCTTTGGAGAGTTTTAAGCAAGGATGACATGCTTAGATTTGTATTTCTTAAAGATAATTTTGGCTGTAGCCATGTGGATGAACTTAGAGGTGGGTATAAGACGAAGGTCAAGGAAGCCAGTAGGTGGCTCTTGCAGAGCCCTGGAGAGAGACTATGTTGGCTTAACCTCCCATCTACAGATAAATGCAATCAAATAATAGCCACATAGAAAATATTGATTTGTTTTGTAAGTCTTATTTTCAGAGAGTTAGAATTTTGATTGTTACATTTTCCTGTAACCCAAATTCATGAAAAATAGCTTAAAAGAAAGACAACTCCCACATTTTCCATTATTAAACTAAGGATTTTATGCAGCATGCTCTTTTCTATTGTAGAAGAAGGAAAGTGATTAGCTTAATTGTTTTGGCTGGTATTTTTTTGCCCAGAAGCTAATTCCTACCTACCAGGCACTATTCATCTTTATGTCTTTTAGATTCATTCCATGTGTCTTATTCCCATTGCCACTGCCCTAGTTTAGGCCATCATTACCTCTCACCTGGACTGTTGCCATAACCTGCCAACTCATCTCTCTGCCTCCCAAACCTTTATTTCCTCCTATTTATCTTCACATTGTGCTTTCAGATTCCCCTGCTCAAGTGTCTTCAGAGATTTTCCTCTGCCTACAGGAGAAATGTTAGCCATCATTTTATCTGCTCTGAGAGCTTTATCTTCTGCCCTGACCCCCATACACTCTAACCTTAAACTAAGCTAGATTACATGATGCTCCACAATTCAATCCCACATTCTAGCTCTCTGCTTTTGCATAGGTCTAGAATGAAATCCTCCACTTCCTGAAATCCTAATTTTTTAGAGCCCAGGACAGAAGTAAATTTTTCATTATACCTTCTACAGTTATGTCAAACAGAAATATTATTATCCACTTAGGGGTCTCACAGCCAAGCTCCTGAATTTTCTTGTTACTGTAGGTACACATGCACATATCTCATCTCTCCTATAAGATTTTACATTCTAAGGGCAGGCAAAGTGTTTTATTCTTTTCTTTGTCCTCCTCAGTACCTTGCCCAGTGCCTTGAAAGTAGCAGATGCTCATTAAAGATTTATGTCATTAGGTTGATGTCACTTTTTAAAGCTAAATTTTTAAACTTTTATATAAAGTTATTCTATTTGAGATCGAAAATGCCTTCAGAAGAATAGCACCATTTATGGATTAAAATTAAGATTATCACAATTCCTAAAGTACAACATATTAATGGAAGATATTAACATGATAATTTATGTTTTCTCATTAAATATGTGTTAAATATGCATTATTATATGCATTATTATAGACTCTGCTAAAAACGACAGACAAGATCTTTATTCGTTGGGAGCTAATTCTAGTCAGAAAAACCAGCAAATGTTTTAGCCACATCTTATATTATTTTGTAGACATTGATTCCTATAAGTCTTTATACAGGTAGCCCCCTATAGAAACATTTTTCTTGGTTATAAAAAGTAATTTTTTAAACTTAAGCTGTATTATTACACTCATACATTCAATGAGTAAATATATTAGAAACTAGGTACTTTGCTAAATCTGGGTGTTAGTCAAGTAGAAAACAACAGGTATCTAAGCAAGTGAGCGTATTACATTTCATATGTCCTGTAGTCCAAATATGTTCACAAAAATTGGAAATAATTATGTATACCAAAGAATATAGCATCACAAAGCCCAGTCAAGGTAGCTGTTATCCCAGCACTTTGGGAGGCCAAGGCAGGTGGATCACCTGAAACCAGGAATTTGAGACCAGCCTGGCCAACATGGTGAAACTCCATCTCTACTAAAAATACAAAAACTAGCCAGCCGTGGCGGTGCATGCCTGTAATTTGAATTACTCAGGAGGCTGAGCCATGAGAATTGCTTGAACCCGGGAGGCAGAGGTTGCAGCACTGAGCTGAGATCGTGCCACTGCACTCCAGCCTGGGCAACACAGCAAGACTCTGTCTCAAAAAAAAAAAAAAAAAAAAAAAGAACATAGTATAGTGTCACAAAATGGGTTGGGCCTTACTCCAGGCTAGGAAATAATGAAGGATGAGAGAAGGACCAGCTAAATCTTTGATGCTTTGGCAGTGGAGAAGTGAAGAAGAGAGATTGCTGCATTGGACTGGCCCACATGCTAAGAATTTTTTCCTGTAATATTATGTCACTGTTTCCTGTGGACTGAAGGTCAGTCACTACTGAAAGGAATCAAACCAATTGAAAGGCCTGGAAGGGAAATGGGAATCTCAAAGTAAGAGTCTGTTGCAGTGAGCTGCTGAAAGAGCAGGAACGGAGGAGGTATGGTCAGATGAAAGAAAATTTGTGTCGAGGAAACTGAGGTGAGAGACCCTCAGCAATAGTGAGAGAAGTAAACACACATACACACACACCCACCCACCCACACACACACACACACACACACACACACACAGAGTTAGCCTTAAAAATCTTGGGGTCTAGTGTGAAGTTTGTCAGGTAGGAACTTTTTTCCTATAACCATCTTGTTTTCGCCTACCTTCCACCCCTAACTTTGGAGGATTCAGAACTTGAGTTAGTAAGAGTGACAAAGAAGGGTGGATGAAACCCATAAGACTTTTAAGCTTACTTTTTCAGCTTCTTACTTGAAAGAGGCTCCTGCTGGGGATAGAGAAAAGATTCAACTTTAGCGCTCAAAGTTTCAATTATTGTATTGGTCTAGGCATACTAATTTTTGAATTGAGACTGTTTGCAAGTTAGGGTTTGTTGTTTTATTACACAAATGTAATATATTTTACTGAATACCTTTTAAAGGGGCAGTGAGAAATAAAAATAA
This sequence comes from Homo sapiens, assembly GCF_000001405.40. Classification (NCBI taxonomy): domain Eukaryota; kingdom Metazoa; phylum Chordata; class Mammalia; order Primates; family Hominidae; genus Homo; species Homo sapiens. The sequence continues at coordinate 86,655,439 of NC_000007.14, read as the reverse complement.
ATTTGCTTTTTTATTTTATTCCACAATTTACTGATCTACCTACCTGTTACTTATGCCAAAGCAATATTTTAGTAATCAGGCCTACCTACAGTAAGGACCACATGGATGTTTTGAATAAAAATTTCTTTGGTAAAACAGATAAAAAATCATTAGTATGAACTTAGATTAAGCAGAACTTTGAAGTTGGACTTAAATATAGGTTTGGAGAAAGGAGGAAGAAAACACATTCTAAATGAAATCATACTACAAAGACACTCAGGTGTGTATTTGGTGCAAACAGAAAGGTCTGGGTAGACTAGATATTCATGTTGAGGATGACAGATTGGAAAGATACACCAGGGACCTGATTGTAAAATGCTTAATGGCCACGCTGGGAAGTTACATTTAAGTGATATTTATATTTAATGCTTTTAACACCTGGAAAAACCAGTTATTCATCAAGTTTAATCTGGTGGCAATACTTCCTTTTCCAGCTTCTCTCACTTTTGTACATCCCTCATTCTATTTTCTTCACACTGTATTTGTTCTCTTGTTTATTGTCTATTTAGTGTAAGCTGAATATAAAAAAAATTTCTACATTATTGTTCATGCTATAATATCTCTAGAACAGTGACTGAACACACAGTAGGCACTCATTAAATTTCTGATGAATAAGTAATTGTATAAGGAGAGAGAGAACGAAGGAGATAAATGGTTAAAGATTGAGAGGACAGTGATGATAACCTGGGCTAAGGTTTTGTCAGTGGTAGGAGAATAAAGAAGTTGCCATATCATTTAGGAAGGAATCAACAGAGGACTAAACAGAAGAAAAATGTCATGGGCAGTTCCACAATTTTGAATGATTGTATGGAGAAATAATCATGTTTCTCTTAGAATCAGAAAATAAGTTGCTAGTTGGGGGAGGCAGTGGGCTTTTGGCTTTAGATACGTAGAGACTGCTGTGTGAGTGGGACAGTCCAGTAGAAGTGACATCATCAGGTAGAAGTACTGTAACCATCAGAACGGTCAAGAAAGCCAGGCTCTGCTGAGACACGGTGTAACTTTCAACAGTTTAACAGTTTTGTCTCTGAGATTCCTGAGTCTTAAAAAATTCAAACCATTAAAATATTTGGGAGAGTGGGGGTGTGCTCTGTTTTTTATTGCTTTTCTCTTCATGAAGTCAGCTACTAAGTGTAGCATTCCAGTGAAGGCAAAGAGGGAGCACAAAACCCCTGGGAGGTAAAGCTGGTGGCCCAGGCTGAGCCTCCCCCTCCCTGCTGCCAGTCCCTCACTTCCTGTTCGGCATTTTTCCCATGTGGCTCTGAACGCTGCTTAGGAAACTATCTTTGGCAGTATTTGTGAGGATTGCCGGCTTTAGCTAAGCAACCATTCACTTGAACGAAGTGGACGCTGAGTGAAGAATGTGTAAGTTGCCAAATGAGGTCCTTCCCCTGCCCCCACGCTGCAGATCTAGAGGGCAGTGGGGAGAGTTGTGACAGAAGTTTTCCCACATCCCCTAGCTCATAAGGGCATAACTATAAAGACAATTTGAATTTTAAGAGTGCAGTTATTCAAATCGAGGAGAGTTTCTAAGAAATAATCTTTTCATTAATGATAATCTTCAAACACTAGTAACTTATCTTTCTAATATATTAATATTAATGATAAAATATAGGATAAAATATTAAAAGTGAGAAGGTTTTCTAATAAGAATATCAGTAACTTCTTCAAATACCAGTAACTTCTCTTTCTAATATATTAATATTAATATAATGATAAAATACAGGATAAAAGATTAAAAATGAGGAAGTCTCCGAATAAGAATATCCAAAAGATGTGTATTATTATATGTGTTTGCATATCTCATGGGAACTTACTATAGGTAACAGGAAAACTTCCTTTACAACGAAGATAATAGGACATTTCTAGAAAATCTATTCATACAACTTATAGAAACTGTGCCTTATTAGTTGAGCTTAATTAGTACTCAGGCTTGTAGAATGTACTTTATACAACTGGTTAATCCAATTAGAATGAACTTGCTGTGGAAAGTAATTTGGTAAAAGAAATTCACTGGATATTCTGTGTATGACCATCATTCTACATGTAATTGTTATGGACCGAATATTTGTGTTGCTCCAAAATTCACATGCTGAAGCCCTAGCTCCCGATGTGATTGCGTTTACTAACAGGGCCTTTGGGAGATGATCAGGTTTACAAAAGGCCATCAGAGTTTGGCCCTCATGGTGGAATTCATGTATTTATAAGAGGAGGAGAGCCCAGAGCACCTCCTCTTCCTCCCAGCTATGGGAGCACAGAGTAAAAAAGTGGCTTGGGAAGAGGACTCTCACCAGGAACTGAATCTGCTATAATCTTAATCATGGACTTCGCAACATCTGCAACTGTGAAAAATAAATGTTTGTTGTTTAAGCTACCTGGTCTATGGTATTTCATTATAGCAGTCTGAGCAGACTAAGACAACAATGTTTCTCAAATCCCAAGAATAATCAGAAGTTTACTTACTATGCAGATTCCAAAACTTCAATCTATATGACATTCGTTTCAATTAGCCTGGGATGCATGTGTCCCAGCATTCTTCATTTTAAGTAAACTTCAAAGTGATTCTAATGCAGGCTCTCTGGGCAATAATTTCACAGACTATTTACAGCAGAGGTAAATAGATGATTTTTGTTGTTGTTGTTCAATACATGGGGGAGTATAAAGGAAAGGGAGAGGTTAACTATTCTTCGTTTTTCAATTTTCTTACCCTTTCCTACTTCAAATGTTCCAGCATTTTCCATATGAGAAGTGGACCTAATACTATCGGCTACTGGCCGGGCACCATGGTTCATGCTTGTAACCCCAGCACTTTTCGAGGCCAAGGTGGGAGGATCATGAGGTCAGGAGTTCAAGACCAGCCTAGCAAACACGGTGAAACCCCATCTCTACTAAAAATACAAAAATTAGTTGGGCGTGGTGGCGGGCGGCTGTAATCCCAGCTACTTGGGAGGCTGAGGCAGGAAAATCGCTTGAATCCGGGAGGCGGAAGTTGCAGTGAGCCGAGATTGCGTCACTGCACTCCAGCCTGGGCAACAGAGCTAGAATCCATCTCAAAAAAAGAACAACAACAACAAAACAAAAACAAAAAACAAACAAAAATTATCTTCCTTCCTGTCTTGTTATATCACATAGCAACAAACACAAATTTAGGACCTTAGAAGAAGAAAAAAAAAGTAGAGGGTGAGCACTCTAACACCTCAATCTTTTTCCTACCAGGGCTTCATTTGTTCAACAACTAAGAGAAGGCTTGTTTCCTTTCAAATTACTGCATTATGAGTGTTTAGGAAACCATAGCCAAGGAAGGGCTTGTCTTAGACAAGGTCGTGAAGTACGTAAAAATTCAATAAATTAATTGTTCATTCTACCTACTCCCTACTAAACTGGTAAAGTTACCTTTTCTGAAAAATGAGCCTATAAATTCAGAATGTGTTGGAGGGTTAGTACGTTATGTGGTTCTAGAACTATATGTTCTTTAGTACTTCTTGGATGAAATACTTCAGTTTAAAATTTGGAAAATTTTATGAACCAAGGAAGGTAGTGAAAAATATATTTTGGGTGTTGGGGGAAGTGGGACTTTTGGCATTCCTCAAAACATTTTTTTCAAGGGGACGTCTTGAACAAAATCTATGGAAGAGATTTGTTAGACATCTAAGTTCATGTCTTGTCTACTAATCAATTTTGAAGTTAGGTATGGTCTGGCTACCAGTGTAGTAGTGACCAATATAGTATGGACTGGTCACCAGTCCATATATGTGGATTCCACAGAAATCACTGGGATTAATGCATAAGCATGTAGAGGGTCTCTGCTTTTTCAGGAAAAACAAGATGTTCCAAAGTAGAAAGTTAATTATACTCTCTAGATATCCTTTTCTCCTTGAGGCAGATATAAATTCCAACGTTTTTGACCTTGTAGTGCCATCTCTCAGATTGGCATGTATTCTGACATATTTTGTAAAAGCAGCTTCCATTATGTTGTATTCACCAAGACATGGTTCATTGAAACTGTTAAGCAAATATTACTAATAATCTATCTGCTATCTATTATTAACAATCAAAAGAAACAGCCTCCACCAGATGGAGGGGCGATCTGTGATATCTGTTCCTTTTTTATGTCCATTAATTACTCTAGCACATATCACAAATCAGAGAAAGACCCTCAAGTAAAGATTTGTTTCAGCCCTTTGGTTGTGTGAAAAGAAGTGTGAAAAGAAGTATAAGCTCATGCAATTAAGACAGCAGGTTTCCTGTCTGTGGGAAGGCACTGAGGTCAGAGAATAATGAGATGTGGGTTTTCCTGGAGCAGCACTACCAACAGTCTTTGGAATCTCCAGCAGGTCACTTTGCATCTCCTATTCTTAGTGTGTTTAAAATTCATAATCCCTGATCCCTTCCAGTTTCATGCTGTTGTATATATTATGGATAAATGTCCCGATGTGTAAAATGCTGAGAGTTTTCTAACATAAAGATGAACCATTACTACTTCAGCAGGGTAAAGAAATTTGAAAATTTTACTATACTACAAAACTTTTTTACCAGCTTGTTTTCCTGGTGGGAAGTAGGTAGGTTGTAAGAGGAGAGAAACATCAGCATTTTAGCCTCAGCAGAAATCCTACTCACCTCTATCCTGGCTTTTTGTGAGACTATATTCTTGCCACTGTACTAAGTTTTACAGATGATAATGGTCATTGAAATCAGACTCCAAGAAATATATTTTCCTCACACTTTCAGACCTGGTGTTTATTTCTCAGCTTGTTCATTTATAATCTTCATAGACTTTTCTATTTTAGAATTTCATCCTTAGTCCTAGTCAATTATAAATAATGTTTTAGCTTACTTCTTCCATTTGCATGTCTCTGCCTCTCAGAAGGGACAGTGTCTGGAGTGGAGAAAGATCTTGAGCCTGGGGAAGTCTATTCTAGACTCCCTTTCATTGATTATTGTTTGCCCTCCTTACCAAAGCATGTCCCTCTACTTGGAGCTCAGAAAACACTTGTTGAATGCAATGAAGCCTGGTAAAATAAATAAATTAATTAAAATAAATAAATAAATTAAAAAATTGTGAGGCAATATTGGTAGTAAAGAAAATAGGTCTTAGAATAAGAAAGTAGGTTTTGAATTCCAGTTGCAGCCTTGTTAACTACCTGAACTTGGGCAAGTTACTTTATCTTGCTGGGCCTCCATCTCCTCTTCTGTATAAAATGAGGATCCCAGTACCTACTTCACAGGTACTGTATAGTTCTTGTATAGCAGAGTTCTTCACACAGGGAAGTTGGTTAATAATTATCACCTATTATTTTGACTTATTATTAGTTTTGTCACCTCACAGCATACAACACTGTCTCCACAAGGCATCAGAATATATACACACATTTAAAATCCTAAATATGAATGCATCTGTTAAGGAACAGACTTTTTCATTTGGTTGATAATTCTGGTAACATTTTCTCTACTCTCAAATTTCAAGTTTGATTTTTGCAGCACTTTCAACTTTACACATGTTTGTGAAACTTTGTGTGTGAACATTTTTTTGTGTTCCCAATGCATGTCCTATATTTTGTTTTGGTCAAAATAGGTACTTAATAAATATTTATTGACTAATTGTTTCCCTATTAGCTACCTTTTCTTTCTGATGATAGACTCTTTCTTAGAGGAATCTTCTCAAATTTTATACTCCTAATATTCCCATGCTACATATATAGGTTGTAAGTTTTTTTCAAACTATGTATCTAGCATCATGGTTTTGATTTTTTTTAATCTGTTTAGATATCTATACCCTTTCAACTGAATTTACTCAAATATGTGTGTGTGTAGTTATACAGTCAATGATAGTGAAGTAGTGAAGTAAATTCTGATAAGAAATTAAAGATCAGAGTTACTTTGGGCTTTTTGTGGAGGTGCCTTCTCTATATATGGCTTTATTTTCAAACTGGTGCCTTAATCTATGCCTACGTAGATTATATCAGAATGTTTTCCAAGTTTATTTCTCTCCTTAAAGTACAGTGTACAATTTCCAGTTCAATAAAAAGATTGTTCAATATGATGAAGAAATACTTACTCTGTGTAGGCACAGATTCTTTGGATGCCTTGCTGTTCCAGAGAGAAGCTATAGGTATATTAATGGCCTACATTTTCTATACCAAGAAAATTGATTTTCCTTTTGTTTCTAAGGAAAATCATTTGGAGGGTGCTCACCACTATGTGATGAATAGCACTATAAAAATACTTTGGGACCTCAGGAGGGAGAGTACTTGTTTAAAAATTATTTCGTGCAGTCTAATTTTATTTGTTTAAAAATAAGTTTTGGAAAGATGTCTCCTCCTTGATTTCTTAACCTAATCCACGTGAGTGTTTCCATGTACCGTCGAATGCTTAACAAGCAGTAAGATAGCACTAAATGGTGTTTTTAGATGCTGATTCACCTCCCTCTGGTTTTATATTTTCTTGACTTGCTAAGTGTAACCTAGGAACTTATTTCCTGATTTATATCATTTACTCCTCTACTGTCTAGCAGAACTTGTATTTCAATGCCTGGAACTTGGAGAAACAATTGAGTGGGATGGTGAGTCTACCAAGATATTTGCTTAAGAATCTTAAAGAAGCCTACACACGGATGTCTTGGAACAAGATTTCAAGTGAACAAAGTGAAAACCTGTTTTTTTATGTTTTTTTTTTCAGGCTTTTCTATTTTTAAAGTAACCTTCACATATGGTACCTCCATATATATCGAAATACATTCCACATTGATATATGCATGATGTAAGCTTACTTTTCATAATGCAGCACGGTGAATAATTTGGCCTTAATTCCACTGGGTTTTTTAGATTGTTTCAGTATAAAGGGGCTACTGCCAATCCTAACAGAATTACTATGTTTTGTTAACATACACATCTAAACTATATACACTATTACATTCCTAGCACATTCTATTAATTATGGACATCACTTTCATTTCAATAGTGGAATTTACATGACAACAGCTTCTGGGGCTCAGAGGAGCATCAGACCAGCATGTCACAAAATTCCCTTGTAGTGTGGGCGTTGACAGGGTTCTGTTGCAAACAAATTTGCAATGAAAATGTCTCATAATGTGCATCCACATAGAACATTCCTCAGAAAGTACCACCTTAATATTCACATAGGTCATTAACATCAGAAAAGGTAATTTCTTAATTCTTACATTAGTAAATTAAATTATTAGGAACATATAGTTATACACATATATAAGTGTGCAAAAAATGTCTTAAACATTTAGCAAAGATGTCTGGACATAGAATTGCCATCTTTGTATTCTCTCCTGTAACTGTGTGAAGCTTTTGTATTTTATAAGTCCTAGAGAAATGTTGGATGAAGAATCTGAATCAGACAAGAGGATGAACTAGTCCAGAAGGTTTATAATAGGAATTAAGTAACAAGATAAAATATAATCAGGAGAAAATTAAGCTGAATATCACAACAAAGTTCTTAATAGGGAGAACCATTAGACTGAAATAGTCTTTCAAAGACTCTGGAAGAAGTCATTACGTGATCCATTTAAAGTCAGACTGGACTGAAGTACTCCAAAATACAGTAGGCTATGGGGACCAAGCCTACATTAGAAGTAGAAGGAGGGGTATGAGCTAATAGTTTTTGCCGTCTCAGTGATTACTATGATGATACTCATTTTATGTGTTCAGACTTGGTAGATAATCTTCTATCATTTTATGCTCCTCCTTGGGAGCAATTTCAACAAATTCATCTAATGCAGTATTGGATCCATTTAGTGGAGTCTCAAAAGATGTGAGAATGCACAATAAACTCAGTTTAAAATAGCAAAGTGAGACAACTGTGAGTAAACACGTACTCCTTTTTTTGAGAATTACTCCTGGAGAAAACAAGTCTCACGCTGGAACTTTGGCCACATTCCAGTGTGCGTAACTGAATCCTGCCCTCCTTGTTTTACAATAGTGATTAGGTATTCATTTTCATTTCTTTTGTTTAGTAGAATATTGGGATGATGTTTAGTGCAGGAAAACAATTGGAAAATTCACCCCCAAGCCAATGTGCTACATTTTGGCAGGAGGTAGCTAGTATCCTGGAAAAACCTCATGCTTCATTTTGCGACTGATCACTATTAGAAGAATGGACAAGAAAGACAACAGTTTTATTTGGCAAAAAGATAGTTCGACATGAAATAAAAGTGAGGAAAATGTACCCAGGGAAGTTGTAAAATGTTATTGCTGAGAATCTTTCAAAATAAGAACATCTTCAATTGTGTGATTCCAGCTAATCACCTGTCATAGAGAAGTGAAGCAGTGAGCTTTTGACAATTATCCCCATTCTTTTATTCAATACAAATATTAATTTCAACTTAAACATAAAGCTCAATCAATTTCGTTATATTTGCATTTGTTCAACTTACCAATTTTAATTACAGTGATATAAAATTAAAGATGAGCTCATCATTTTGATATGTGTAGTTGTGGGTTAAATCATCGGATTTATACTCCTTTTCACATGTATACCACAACTTTTTAAAAAGCCCATTGTGCAAAAATAAGTAGGTCACAGAGTATATTTTAATTATAAGATTTTTTTGTGTGTGTGGCTTTCCACACATTTTCTTGTTACTGATCATATATTCCTGAAGTTTGAAAAATACCATTCAATTTAAATAAATAGAAAGACATCTGTTTCAAGCTCCAAAGTGTGGCCTATTCATTGTACTGGCATAATTTTCTATGATTTAGGTTTCACATTTCACTGGTAAGGGCCTAACTCATAAAACCACAGTTTTATACCTAGATATATAGTATCTAGGGGCAGGAGGGGTTTCAATGCTAAAAGGTATTGTTGCCATATTCTTTTTCATCTAATAAAGGTAGATATTCTGGAATTTCATTGTTTTATTTGTTAAGGTATAGGTTTCAAGACTTCCTTTCCTCATTTTCCATCCTGAGCTCCTGTGTTACTCTGAACATAAGATAGCCTTTGGGCATGTATATTCAAAATATCTATGTACTCCTGCTGGGTGATCAAAACCCAATAAGATTGACAGCTAAAGTCTACAGGTGTAAGAAATCTTTGTAAATATAAAACACTACCCATTGTGAAAGGAAAAGTATTACAATAATTTCTGGCATACAATAGCTTCCAAATATATTCAAATTCTATTGGGCTGATTTTAGAAACAAGGTACGTAGGAATATAGAATCATATTTATTCATTAGAGTGTCCTAAGCATCTTTGTTAGGAACTGTTATCCATAGTTTAGCATAGTGGCAATCTAGATTACTTTAGTAATGCCTATATTGAATATACTTCTGCAAACAATTAGAATTCAGAGAGGAATCTTAAAGTGTGTGATCAGATAAACCAAAGCAGACTCCACCCCCTAAACTCCCTCCCACCCCCCCCCACCCCCCCACCCCCACCCCCCCGCCCACCACAAAGAAACATACTGTAGCTGTGCTGGACAGTTCTAAGAAATTCAAGCAAAGAAACTCTAAGGAACTATTGTTGGTACTTAACTCACACCTACCTCAACTCACATTAACCTCAACTTTGAATATTCCAATATGTACCTACATATAGACCCCAAACATATCTATTACTATTCAAATAGTAGAAATATTTTTATAAGCAAATTAGTTGAGTCCTTAACCAAAGATCTTTAGAGGTGTATAGTTTTGTTTTTCAAAATTTACAATATCTAAAATACTTAAAGTGGGAGAATCCTTCCTTAATATATTTACCTAAAAGTGTTGTACCTTAGAGAATTGTCCACCTTTGATAACCCAAGGAATAACTAGAAAGAAATTTAAATGAAATCCTTAAGAAACAAGCTTATTGGATATATCACCTAGTCTATTTTTGGATCGCAAATCTCCCGCCCTCTCTGAGTTATCTCACTGTCAGATAAGAAAATGGAACAGGGTCGATGAAAAGATATGCTCCCTGTCTGGCTTTTCGATTTTTCACTCAAGCCAAAAGGAGCAAAGGGCAGTGAGTTAAGGCTCCTTTCCAACCCTGCTTGCGGGAGGGCAAACCTCTGGCCGCCTCCGGCTTCGGAGCTTATCTGGGCTGCATGGACCAGGTCTCGCTGACCGTTGCCCACCTCTGCCTGCAACCTCCACACCCACATGAAACCGCCCGTATCCACGGATTCCTGTGCACAAAGCCTTAGGGAGCCCCCAAATAGAAACAAATTCTGAGCCCAGAGCTGAGATGGAGGTGGTTGGCTGATGAGACTGGTCTCTCTGGGGTCTGCGAGTGCTAGTTCGTCCCTTCACCTCTCGCACCCTGGCCGCAGATCTATGCCCTGAAATCTCCCTCCTCCCAGACACAGACGTGGGCGCACACACACAAACTCTCACTCATGCACACCCACATCGCCTCTGCCCTCCACCCTTCCCACTCCAGTCAGGACTGTAGGGACTGGTCCATGCTCTACCTCAACTTTCCCGGCTGCGCCTGCCCCACGCGGCACCCGAGCTTCCGCGCCCTGGCTGGGCGCCCTCCAGAGGGACACGTCCTCCTCTGGGACCCTTACCTCGCACCGACAACTCCTGGCAGGAACTGGAGCTGACCGCGGTGGCAGCGGCGGCGGTGAGCCTGCACCCGGGCTCTGGCTCATGGTTGGTCCTCCTCATCCGACACAAAAGAGGTAGCTTACTGGCTTTGTCCTTTCCAAATCCAAGGGAGAACTTATTTTGCCCTCGAAATGGCCAACTTGTGCGCGCAGCTTCCTGTCACAGTGCCCCCTGCCCCTGCCCCCTCCCGGCTGCACGCTGGACCACTGCCCGGTGGCAGAACATCCAGGCATCCGAGTCAGTGGGGAGTGGGAAAACGGAGGGGTGGAGTAGAAGAGAGGGAGGAGGTTGGGGAAAGAGGGGACCCAGTGGTCTTCCGCGGAGGGGAGGGGAGCTCTTCCCAGCCGAGTCCCCTCCTCCTTCTCTTATCAGGCAAACCCACTTCCTAGGCGCGGAAGCAACTTTCCTTCACCTTGACCAGGCTGAAGCCGTCGCATCTAATTGGGACTCTTGGCAGAAGCACGGACCTCCTGGCATCCTCTCCTTTTCATTCTTTCCTCCCTCTCTCGTTCTTTTCCCTCCCCCACCCTCCCTCTTATAAGGGTATATCTGCAGAGTCTTCAGTGAGCCAGGGTACCTAGACGAGAGGATTTTTATACGAAAAGCCAGGGTAGATTTGCCGACTGCTTTGCCTCACTCTGAAATCCTTAGGCAGTGCATGCAAAGGTCGGTGAATTTCGGAGTGGGGTGAAGGGGCATGGGGCGGTAGGGAGGGTGGCGGCTCCAACTTTAAAGCTCTGCTAGAGCGCTTGGCTTTCAGGTAAGCAGGGACTAACAGTCCTTACAAGAACTCTCCTGTGGTCCCTGGGCAGGGGGCTGACCGCATGCCAGAGGAGATTAGGAGAGCGGGAGCAGAGAGGGAGTGTGAGAGCCAGGGAGGCCGGTACGCAGCTCAGCCGTACTCGCGACTCAACTGCACACTGCGAGCCCCTGGAGAGGGTTTGTGCAGAACAATCTCTGGGTCAGGCGGGAGGCAGACGCTCCTGTTTCCTAGCAACCCTTATCAATCTTCTCCCTCTGAAGGAATTCAATTGGACAGCCCCTGGAGAAAAGCCACGCCCATCCGGGAATGCTGGGCTGCTGCTTTTTCGCATTCTCCCAAATTTCTTGGGTGGAATAAGATTATAGGGGACTGCTGAATTATCTTTCTTCTTATCCTTTTCTGCTACCACCTCGCCTCTTAAAGCTACCCCCAGCACCCCCTCATTGGTCCTTCTCTAGTCCTGCTATGGTTGTCGGATACAGTCAATGTTTCCTACAGAACCTCTTCTTTCTTCTTAAAAATAAATAAATAAATAGGAACCTTAAATCGGTGACGTAGGCACAAAAGAGAAAAAGGCACGCGGAAACAGCTTTAATAGGCTGCCAGCTACAGATAAAATCCTAAAGGTAAAATTCCAGGCATCTTTCTATGTCTAGAAACACATACTGTTTAATTTCCAAATTGAAACTTCATTAATTTTTGTACTCTAATATACTAACTTTGTATTAACCAAGGACTGAATTATATGAAGCCAGACACAATTAAACTTAATGCTTTAAATGCTACATTTAGTCTTTAATATTTAATGTTAAGTTGTTTAACAATTGCTGTCTTTTGTAACCTAGCCAGAACTTTTAAACTACAGAAATAATTTTACCTACTGATTCTTTTAGAGGGACAGCAATATTTAAAAGACACATGTGCATATATATATATATATATATATATATATATATATTTCATTGTGAACTCCACTAGATCCAGAAATTTGAATATATTAAAAAATAAAGTGTTATTATATAGTGAAATGCTAAAATTTTAGAAGTCCCCCTTTCAACGTATTCTTTCTGGAATGCAATAGCATTGACCACGTACAAGCAAAATTCCTCTTCCTTTGTGTTTCATTAGTATTTTCCAGCATGAATTGTTCACCAAAAAAAGATCTTTATAGGAATTTAATTTTAATTTTAAGAATTTATTTACTTTTAACAATGTCTGCCCAATAGACAACTGTATATCAAGGGGCAATGACATGAACATGAGAAAGATAAAGATTTATACACTGCAAGGCTTCAGATCCTCATGAAGCTGTGTGGGTAGATTTTGGTCTCTTTCAGAACGTTCCAGAAGACATCATTTTGCGCTTCCAAGACCTTATCAGAATTAGCTGGGATTGAGAGAAGTAGAAGAGAGCTGATGTTTTTGTCTCACACACACAAAAGTAGCTGATGTTTGCACAACGGAAAGTGCTGATAAACTGCACTCCATAGTCTGTATCTAGCTGTTAACTAAGGCTTGTGGTGAGTAGAGGCTGAAATGCTGAGGCAAATTATCAGTCTGTTATCAGATATTGCCTGATGAGACACTTCTTTCCTCTCCCACGTTACGCCATACACACAAAGGAATTCCTCAATGTGAATCCTGAATTTTCATCACTTCCTAGCTGCGTGAACTTGGGCAAGTTTCTTAACCTGCCTATATGTCAGTTTCATCATCTGTAAAATGGGAATAACAATTGCTCATACCTCAGAATTATTTTGAGGATTAGTAAATCCATGTAAGAAGCATATAAATATTAGTTACTATTAAAAATCCCTGGTTTATATAATAGTTAACTGATGGTATTTTAATTGTTGAGCATATTTAATTGAAAGCAATTAGTCTTCACTGTTTAAATTCGTCATTGATCGGGAATATAGATTGGCTTTTAATGTTTATTTGTTGGTGTGTGTGTGTGTGTGTGTGTGTGTGTGTGTGTGTGTGTGTGTTTTCGAGTTACTTTTAAAAGCCTCAAGGGATAGGTCTAAATAAAAACCTCTGACTAAGTAACATGTCAATTAAGAGATTACATTATCCCTCTCTTCACACCCTCCCCAAGTATTCTAGCTGGGCTCCATTTCTAAACAATCCTAGTTCCTTTTCTTAATTACATCTGATGTATCAAGTTTCTCAAATATTTTTCAAGTGAAACACATGTATTTGGGCATCTAGATCACTCCTTGTAGCTCATATTTTTATTAGTTTATCTAAATTTCACTAATTCATCTATATTTGTTTGAGTAACTAAATCATGATGTTTTTTCTTAGGAGTCTTTACCATTAACACTTGGACTTCTTTACAGTGATTTTTTAAATATGGCCTGTAGGCTGGGGGCGGTGGCTTACGCCTGTAATCCCAACACTTTGGGAAGCTGAGGTGGGTGGATCACCTGAGGCCAGGAGGTTGAGACCAGCCTGGCAAACATGGTGAAAACCCCTCTCTACTAAAAATACAAAAAATTAGCTGAACATGTGGTGGGTGCCTGTAATCCCAGCTACTAGGGAGGCTGAGGCAGGAGAATCACTTGAACCCAGGAGGTAGAGGTTGCAGTGAGCCAAGATCACACCACTGCACTCCAGCCTGGGCAATAAGAGTGAAACTCCACCTCAAACAAAAACAAAAAACAAATAAATATGGCCTGTAAAGTGTCCCATCTTTCATCCAGAATAAACGTTGAAAATGGAAGTACTGTCATCATTAATTACAAATAAAATGGCTTCCATGTCCCCATGCTGATCCATAGTTTACTCTCACTAGCATTCTCTTTGAAGCAAACCTCCATTTTGCTTCAGAGATCAATTTCTTTGTTGGTTTCTACTACCAGTCAGAAATGCACTGTTCTCTTTGAAGCAAACCTCTGTTTTTCTTCAGAGATCAATTTCATTGTTGCCTTCTACTACCAGTCAGGAATGAACTGTTATTTTGGTCACATAGGGTAATCAGGCATCCAATTTATGCAGAACAGTTCTGGTTTACATCTGTTGTCTGAATGTATTCATAGTCTTCATTTTATTTCTCAAAGTGTCAGGTTTGGGCATTAAATTATATGGCTACCTAAACCTTCTAGTCATCTGGCCATACCTCTTGCTTCAGCCTTTACTTGCTTCATCTGCCCTGTGACTGTAAATTCCTCTGTATAATTTTTTAAAGAATAGGATTGACTGATCTATTCTGGGGACTTAAAGTACATATGTCCTTGTAAATATATAATACTAAAATTCTCTTTAATTTGCTAATAAGCATCCCTCATTCACTTTTCAACTTCTTTCAAAAATACGTTTCTCCTTAGAACATCTGTAAATTCTTATTTTAATTACTGTTGCAATATATAAAAATAAATGTATTCTAGTCTTGCTTTTGACTGAAGCCTCCATGCAAAGAGGAGCCAATTACTCCATATTCCAAAGTAAGAGTTGTCACACCCCCTGTGCTGGATTCGAGTGGAGTATCCCTAATCCATGTGGAATATAAGAGAGTTAAAAGAAAGGTAGGGAATACAAGCATAGAGAGTTTTTGGTGTTCTTTTAAATATGCAAGCCCAGGGTGAGGGTTTATATACTTTCTCCTTGCTTCAACTCTAATGAAGTGTGCTGCTGCTATAGGAAAACCATTGCTATGTTCCGTTGGAGTTAGGGTGATGTAGTGAACTGCTTCACAGCAGAGAAATATAAAACACTGTGTCTGAATCTGTCTTTCAGAGGACTAAAATAAAATAGGGCAAGTGACTGCACTTGCCCTTATGTCAGGCAAAAGGGATGGGTTTCCTGTGTACTCTATTTGGGTAGAGTGAGCACAGAGCAGGAGACGTGTTTTCTTAGCCCCTACCCAGAAGTACTTGGTGGAGAATCTGTGATTCCAGTAGACAGTCTGTGAAGGGCACAGGGCTGTGGTAATGTCACCTTGTAGGTTGTGGTCTGCACAAAGGCTCCTGGCTGAGAGGTGAGAAGGAGCTGCTTGCCCAGGCTTGTGCATAGGGCTGTATCAACATGGTGGGAGGGCACCTGTCTATACTTCATCAACCTGGAGGTGCCACCATTTTATAATTCACATAAAGGGTGGTAGTAGAAGGCTGAAGGAGAAATGCAGACAACCAGAGGCTTTGGGTAGGGTAGTCAGTGGCCTGTCATGAATGCCTCGCCAGAATCAGGTCAGAGTCTGCAGTGAGAGATCCCCAGAGCCTGAGGGTCTTCAAAGAACTGAGGAAATTGGGATCAGGAAAGTCAACTTTGAACACCTGCAAAGCCCAGGAAAATGCAATGCTAGATCAGTGCTAGACAAATAAGATTTTTCATGTCTCCTTATACCTTCTATCTCTGACCTCTTCAATTCAGAGAGATCAAAAGCTCCAGCTGCTGATTAAGGTGGAGGGAGGATGAGGATGAGGAAGCCGGCTGGGCAGAAAGAAGAGCCTGCCAGGTCCTACTGCAGGCTGCCATCTGGCTGCCTTCCAAGGCTGGGTGAGGGGAGAAGCATTAGCTCAGGTGGATACTGGAGTTTTAATTATTACTCTGCCTTAGACCTGATTTTACTTGAGTCTGTAGCATTTTCTTTTTTTCTACTGAAATGAAAGAAGGAATGTTTTATCTGGGAACAATCTGAAAGTCGAGTCACTGATTTTCAGTTACATCCAAGGGAATAGAGATGGACAAGCCCTATAGGCTGGATATGCAGGGGCAATGGGGGGAAAGAATAAAATTGTTTTGTGGTGCTTTATGAGCCTCAGTTGTTAGGTATATAAATGCTCTGATCAGTGCTTTGGATCTTTTGTATTTTTCCCCCTGATTCTCACAAGGAAAAAATAAAAGGAGTAGCCCTTGTCTATTTACTGTTTGTTTTGGTTTCTGTTCTGCATATTGTACAGTTAACACCTGAATTAAGGTTAGTTCTAAACTTGAATGTTCAAATATTAAAGTACCTATAGCCCATAAATGGCTGCTTTGGGACATTTTAATTTTTGATTATAAACAAATATGAATAAAAATAAATGTAAATAAATATTAATATAATTTGGGGATTACTTGATAATAAGAATCACCAGTAATAGAAGTACTTGTGTATTTGTCTTCTATAAATAACATAGGTGCTTCATGACGGCAGGCACTATGACTGTTATATTTTTCCTTATAACCCCTGTGCTTATGGAAATGATGAGGATGGCAGTGAGGAGGGAAAGCTTGCTCAGTAGACATTTGTGGAGTGAATGAGTTAAACTTTAAAGATTAAAAGTTCACCTTGACATATTTTATTGAGGAAACGGAATCGTGGACATAGCATGGATTTCTGAATTTCTATATAGGAGAAGTTTAGAAGTGTTAGTCTGGTTCATCAGACTGTAAACTTCAGGAGGAGGGGTGTGTTTGTGCTACCCATCTACCTATCTTGACTGCCTAAAACTGTAGAGCTCAGTAGGCATCTGATGAATGAAAGACTAAATGGCTGAAAGGCCTTTCTAGGGGTTTTGTCTCAAACTATATATTCATAATATGCAAACTCTTTTTAGTTTTAGGTTTCTCAAATAATTGTTTTGAGGATTGGGGGTGGGATAATAGGATCTGATAAAGATTATCAGCATTGTAGGGGAGTTAAATCCTCTAAGCACAGTCATTGCTTGGAGGGGTTAATTCATACAGATGTGTGTTAGAATCACTGCTGTTACTTTGGGCTTGTGACTCCAGTGTAAATAAATTATGCAGAGCACAAACACTGAAGGAGCTCAGAAGACAGGAAAGCATGTTAACTGGGTTTGCTTTTCCACCTAAAAATTTATTCTCAGAGATTTCGGGATAGGTTTTTATTGCATATTTTAGATATAACATGTTTATGGTATTTATTTTGGTCTTATATTGATTATTTTCTTCCTGACAATTCAAATCTATTTTTCATACCCAGAAGTGATGGTTTACTAATTGTATCATCTCTAAATCAGCCATTCATCTGAAAGTAATATCTGATTAGTTATGTGCATATGTATTTAAGTAATAGTCATGAGAGATGATCATGGGCCAAACACTATGCCAAGTACCTGGGATACCAAGGAGATAAGAGGAGAGCTTTACCCTTGAATATTTCTCTTCTGATAATACGAAGTAGACATGTCAACAATTTTTTAAAAAGGTAACATGATGAAATATATAAGAGAGGTCCTTTATGAAGAAGAGTGACCTAGTACAAGTGGCCACTATAAAGAACTCAAAATAAACTCCTGAGCTCAAATGGCCTTTAATTATGATGACCCAAGGCAAGAGTCTGCTGTTTCATGAATGCTTTACTTCAAGACTCAACTTTGAAATATGTGTATTTGAGAAAGGGAGTGTATGATTAAGAGGGCTTTTTGGCTGGAAGTAACACATAAGCCAACTAGTAATGACTTAAACAAATAGTAGTCTTCTAGCTTTATTTTCACAGACCAAGACTATGAAAGTAGGCAGCTTTTGAGATTGCTTCAGTGGCTCAGTGTTGTCAAGGCCAGCATCTCTGTCTTTTCCTTTATGTCACAGCATTGCTACTATAGGTCCAGCTATCACATCACTTCAGGAGACAGAAATAAACAGGACCAGCAGTGTAAGCTATATTTGCCCCTTGTGTCAAGAATGCATAATCTTTCTCAAAATCACATAGCAGAGTATTGTTTATGTCTCACTGGCCAGATCAGTTCATATGATTGCTTATAGTTGCAAATTAGGTTGGAAAACTGTGTAAATAGTTTTTTAACCTCTTAGTTCAAGGCATCAAAGAAGAGAGTGAATGGGATTGGCTGTTGAGCCAGCCAGCCAGTAGTGTCTGACTCAGGGAGTAATCTCACTACTTAGCTCTTCTTACACCTTTTCTATACTGGAGATAGTTTTCTAGCCCATATTTAGATATTGATGTCTAAAGCATGACTGCACACTGAGATACCTCTGCTAGTTTTGTTCTTATGTTTTCATTCAATAATAAATATTTATTGAGGGCCTACTCTGTACCAGGCAATGTACTATATTCTGGGTATGTAAGATAGATTAGTTCTCAGTATAATGGAACATACAGCCAGAGAAATGTTTTCAATCAATATGGAGCTTTAATTTTAGGAATGTTCCAACCACAGCCCTTATGACTGGGAGATGTCACAAGCACTTAGTTTTGTATTTCAGATAATTTTACTCTAATTCACAATATTCTGCTTTTTGATATTTTTTGGTACTTTGAAAATATTCTTTTCATTAAAAACAAAAACAAAAAAACTCCCATTCCCCATCTCCTCATTTCTTTCTTTAACATTTCATATATTTAAACAATATTTAATACGTTCTCCAGGTTCATAAATGAATCTATTTTCCAATGTGAAGGGGAATGTACCTAATTGGGAAACCTTTGCCACAGGGAAAATCAAGTTTGTTAATAATGAAGAAATTTTCTTTTCTTGTCTAGTGCAAGGATATCTTAAGAAAGATTCTTGGTGGAGAAATCATATAAATGTAAATATAAGACATTAGAATTTGCTATCATTTCTGTACCAGAATTCAATAGAATAAATTCAAGATTTCAGGAAAGTGTTTTTCTCAGAAAAAGCATATTTAGTTTAAATGATCTTAGTAATTGAGTAAAATCCTTAATTAGGTAATTGTTTCTATTGTCTAGCTTAGTTTAGTAGTGGATATTTAGTCACTGAGGGCATGATACTTCAATTAGATATAGTGTCAAATTAGTAGCGACTTATGATGGCTCTACTATCTCAACAAAATTTTTTAAAAATACATACTGCTCAAATGAGAATATCTCAGGCTGAAAAGAAGGATTGGATTAAAGTTCCGGGGAAATATTTATTAAAATTATGTGTTAGTCACATATCTTCACTTTGATGATTCATTATTTTTCCTAAAACATAATTATTTTGATTCTAAAAGTTGCAGAATAAATATACTCATTAGTTACAATGACTAGAGTATAATGAGAAGTTGTCTTTCTTACAGTTTGCAGGGAGGAAAATGCAAATGCCCTTCTTCTTCTCCAATAATAAAGTTGCTCTTACCCATCCTATCTGTATAGAAGGGTATGATTTCATAAATTGATGTTTGAGAAACAGGTATGGATCAGAAAATTGCAAAATAAGAACAATGAACAGCTAACAGAAAAGTCAGCTAGTACAGTGCCTCTCAACCTTTTTTTTTTTTTCTGCCCAGAACTCATGGCTGATGATGTAGTCATTCTCAAAGGTATATCTGGAGTTATTTTGAATTCTATGGTCATCTGTAATTCTGTTCCTTTTTCTTCTACTAAAGGAGGATATTAGAATGCAGGTGAATAAGAGCAACTTCACTCTAGGAACATCCTTGTATCCCTGATAGTTTACATAGAAAGTAAAACATTCAGGCAAAGTAAAACATTCAAAAACGTTGTCACTTCATTAAAAAATAAAAATGCTAATTTCTTCTATTCTTTTTCTTCTTGCAGGAATAGCTGTGATAAATTTGTAGTTCATGGTCTTCCTCAGAGACCTTTCCATATTTACATTATTAATATTCTTCCTTTGAATAGCATTTTTCAGCTCTCAAAATGCTTTCACTTATAGATTTTACCAAAACTCCTTGAGATTATATACATATATATATATATATATATATATATATATATATATATATATATATCTCCATATCCTATTGGCCAGGCACAGTGGCTCACGCTTGTAGTCCTAGCACTTTGGGTGGCCAAGGTGGGCAGATTGCTTGAACTCAGGAGTCTGAGACCAGCCTGGCAGCATAGTGAGACACTGTCTCTTCCAACAATACAAAAAAATTAGGCAGCAGTGATGGCATGGTGGTGGTCCCAGCTACTTGTGGGGCTGAGGTGGGAGGATCAATTGAGCCTGGGAAGTGAAGGTTGCCGTGAGCCGAGATCACACCACTGCACCACTGCCTGGTGACAAAGTAAGACCCTGTCTCAAAAAGAGAAAAATCATACTCTATGTATTTTCTAGATGAGGAATTTAAAGCTAAAAGAAATTAAGTGACTTAATAAATGGCTTTAAGGTCATATGGCAAAGTTAGTCAAGCCAGAACTTCAATCAAGTGAATTGATTTTTAATCCAGTATGTGTTCCAATATTCCCCCCTACCTCTCTTGCTCCCTGTTCACTGGATGATACCTTTTGACTGCATCCATCCCAACTACAAACCACTCTGTGTTTGTGGGCACTCTATATTTAGATTGTTTTTTATACCCAAACCTCCCCCTGCCTCAGAATTCTGCTGAGCATATCTTTTCCACAGGGCTTAACTTTTAGTAGCTTTGTAATGTATTAAAAATGTGATCACATAATTTACGCATGTAACAAACCTGCATGTGTACCCCCAAACCTAAAATAAAAAGTTGGAAAGAAAAAAATAAAAGATAACATATAAAGTGAAAAGAAAAGTATTATTAAATAAACTCATCTCTACTAAGGACTTAACCAGATAATGGTAACCTCTTCATGGTTAGTTTTAACTTTAAGTAGTAATATCATTACTGAGAAATATCTTCCTGTCTTCATGATCTAATCAACCTCATAGTAAACTAGGAGGAAAGGTATCATGTCCACTTATTCAATATTCTTTGCCTGGAACTTAGTGCAGTATCTGAAACATGTTTGTTGAATGAGTGAATTTCAACAATATTGCCGATACCCTGCTTGATTATCACCACAGATGGATGCTGTAGAACATATAAAGTTTGAAATGTAAATTGTGATAATGTAATTATGTATTAGAGGTGAGATTAACTAGGTGTATCTGTCAGAACTGACTAAATTCTGCTGTGGCAATAAACAAATCTCTTGTCTTAAAACAACACTCCTGCTACTTGTTGATTGAGGGTTTGCTGGAGCACTGTTTCATGTTGTTCTTTGTCTGGGACCCAGGCTGATGGAGCAGCCACCATCTGAAACATTGCCAGCTGTGGCAAAGGGAACAAAAGATATACAGGGTCTCACATCAGCACTTAAATACTCTTTCCAGGAAGAGACACTCATAGATTCTATGTACAACTCAGTAGCATAATGAATCCCAGCAACCACCACTCAGGGGATTAGGTGGGTGGAGAGGTCGGAGGTGCAATCCTACGCTGTGTGTGGAAGACATAGAGCCTGAAATAAGTGTTGAAAAACACGAATGAATTGATACAATGGTAAAACAGTGTTCATCTTGTGTGGGAGCTGTTTCTGTGTTATGTATTATCCCAGAATGGAAAAATAAGCATTTCTATTATTTGACCATTTTCTATGGGTTAGGCACTGTGTTATTGGCTTACATATATTGCCTCATTAATTCATACAATGACCCTGGGAGGGAAGTATTATGATTATTATTATTACTTTTATAAAGATGAAAATATTGAAGTGAAGTGAGATTAAGTAGCTTGCCCACTTAATAAATGCTGGGGGAGGATTAGGGCTCAGGTCTGTGTGACTCCAAAGATGGTGCCCTCAACAGCTATGGTCTTTCCTTTATATTATACCTCCAAGTCCTTCAGTCTTCATCATTTGGTTACTAATTTGCTTTTGATTTTCACTGGGCCCCTGAATGTCCTTTTGTCCACAATGCTAAGTAAGCATGCTTTTAAAAGTCAATACAAAGTAGAAAATGAGCAATCTGCTTTTGTTATACATACTGAAAGTGTAATATCTCTGATCTAAAAGAAAAGGTGCTATGAGACAATTCAGACAAACAAATAGTCAAGACTGACTAATCTTATTAGGCAAGACATGAAATTGTATTGTTCTGGTAAAATCAAGTTCTAGATCCTATTCCCATTGACTATATAAAATGTTGATTCAATGTCTGAAAATTGCTTATTGTAGTTCCAAAATGTTTACTAGCTTTAATTATTCTCATAAAATTGAAATTTCCATTTAGTAATAAGGTTTTCAGTTTTTTAAAACAAATATTACTTCATACTTAGAATTTTTTTCTGTGGAACTTTTATTCTATAAAGACAAGGTTTTCTTCCAATTAAAAACCTTTAGAGATTATTTTAAGTGTAATCTTCTCTAGTGTTGCATTCTTTTTTGTTTTCAAATACAACATTAATTTTTGATTGGGCGAGGGAATCTCTTTTTTCCTTGTTTTATATTTCCAAACACTCAAGAATAAGCATAGCACTAACTGGCCTGTTTGCCCTCTCATTCACTGCTCCTCAGGAGAAGAGTCAATTATCATACAACTAACATACATGGGAGAATGAACAGGGCTTGTACAACTTAACTGCTTCTCTTTACTTACTTCGCATGGGATCTGCCCACACAAAGCATGTATCTTATTAATGGAAGGTCCTAATTTAAATGACAGGGAAGGTCCATTTCTCTCTTGGTGCACAAAATAATGGCAGGTCTTATGAACCTGATGTCATTTATTAGATAAAATATGGTATTCTGTTTTTATCTCTAATATATGGTAGATGATCTGACTATGGGGGCTGTATTAGGAAGGCTTTCTGGCTACATATCTAGGCTGTGACACCAACAGCTTCCTCAGTAATAAAACTGGCATCTCCATACTTCTGACTCATTTGATCAGCTATCAGATGGTTCTGAACTTCAACAGGAGGAGAAGAGTGTTGTATATTAAATCTTTAAGCCCTCAAATCTCATATATTGGACTAGCCAACTTGGCAATAGATAAGGAGCAGAATTTGGTAAGAAAGGGAACTGTGGAGATTGAAGCATCTTGTTGAAGCAAGACCCTAAGTGATCCAAAAGAATGGCCTCGGGGTTTTGTTTCACCAAGTAGGAATAGAAGTGGGAGTCATGTTTTTTTTTTTTTTTTTTTTTTTTTTTTTTTACTTTGGTAGGTGGTAACTTTCTATAGCTTGCCATATGGCTACTTTTTACAATTTATTATTATTATTTTTTTTTAGCTCATGCACCCTGGGTGGGTAGCATTAGGCCTCAGGCTTTAGTAAATTGGCCAGGTGGGATTTTGACTTTGATGGGTCACTGGAGCATATTAACTTTGTCCTAGGAAAGTGACAGTTTTTATTCAGGCAAGGCTGCAAGCACCTGTGCCTTAGACAAACTTTAGCCATACAGGTGACCTCAGCATCTTGGATACAGATACCTTTAGGTGAGACTGTGACAGCAAGACCTTGAAAATTCATAGTCTCAGCTTAGCCTGGTATTTCAGGTAAAGCTGAGTTGAGATTAGTCCTTTTAGTACTCGTAAGGAATAACATTTGTTACTTTTAAACTGCAAGGCAGCTGAGTTTTGCATATTCTATAGAATACTAATGAGGTTCTGGCTTTGCAGTTTGTACCAGGTTTGTGTAGGCAGTGCTATTCCAGCTGTTTCACATTCTGTTCATCTTCATGTCATGTCACCTGACTTTAAGACAAAGAGAGATAAGTGTAGAAGGAATAAACTATGTGGCCTCAAGTTGGATAGAGTTGTGTTAAGTGACTAAACATTGGCTATACATCCCAATTTCAGAGACCCATGTTATGGGTTTTCCAGAGATGTGTGGTAGAATTTTATAAATAAACAAATAATAATGAATGAAAGCCCTTATTATGAACAGAATATGCTATCCTCTTGAGATGAAGTAAACAGAGCTCAAAGTTCAGTTGTTGCAAACCCAGTCTAAGAAGGCAGTTGAAAAGCCCTGTATCAGCCATTATGGAAAATAATATGGAGGTTCCTGAAAAAATTAAAAATAGAGCTACCATATGATCCAACAATCCCAACACTGGGCATATATCCAAAAGACATGAAATCAATAATGTCAAAAGATATCTGCACTTCTGTGTTTATTATATCACTATTCACAATAGCCAAGATATGGAATCAACATAAGTGTCCATTAACAGATGAATGGATTAAAAAATATGGTATATATACACAATGAAATTCTATTCAGCCATAAAAAAGAATGAAATTCTGCCATTTTCCACAACATGGATGAACCCAGGGGACATTATGTTAAGTGAAATAAGCCAATCACAGGACAAATACTGTACAATCATACTCGTGTGGAATCTATAAAAGTTGATCTCATAGAAGTTGAGAGTAGAACAGTGGTTATCTACTGTATTGTATATTTCAAATAGCTAGAAGAGAGGATTTTGCGTGTTCTCACCACAAAAATGATAAATGTTTGTTGTGAAAGATATGTTAATTGCTCTGATTTGATCATTAAACAATGTATGCGTGTATTGAAACATCACACAGTATCCCATAAATCTGAACAATTATTATGTATCAATTAAAAACAAAATGAAAACATTCTTAGCAAAAAAAAAAGCCTGTACTTTTTTAACTCTAGAATCAAGTTATTTCAGGAAATTGAACAGCAACTGGAATTATTAGTTAAAAACAAAATAAAAGAAGACTACTAAATAAGCCGAAGAGAGTTGCTTATTGGAAAAAATGATATTTTAGTTGGCAGACTAGACAAGTATTTCCTTTTATATCTGACAAACAATACCAGTCAGATATAGAAGGAAGAAGAATTGAACTAGGCCTAACAGCTCTAAGGAGATAGAAGAAAAGGAGAGATATTTGTTTAGTTGTTGCTAAGACAGAAATAATGACAGCAGGACTGAATAACTGTGCTGGAAGGAACCAGGATCCAAAAATGACTATGGAGGTTATCTTTGAAAGCTGAAAATAGAAGATCCCTTGTAAGAATAATTGAGTAAATATACCTAGAAGATTAGGATGTCTGTGACATTTGGTTACAAGAAAACTTGGACATGTTCAAGGGAAAAAATTAGGATGATCATTGCAAAATATTCAAATCATTAGTGAGTTTCAAAATGATAGTTACTATAGGGGGAAGTCATATATTACCATTGTCCTGAGGGAACATGCTTGAGGAATTTATGAATTCATATTCTACTGGAAGGCGGAACAAAATGAGGCAGGCAGAATGATAATATAGTGGGGCTTTATCTCTACATCAGTCTAAAGAGGATGTTCTATAGGTTGGGATTAACCAACAAGGGAAGATAAATATTTTTTTCTTGATAGACCCAGACTCACTAGTTTTATCTCTCTCACTATGCCAGTTTCCAAAAGATAAAATCTAAAGAAGTATATTAGTAAAACAAGCTTCTCGGCTAGAAAATCATAACTAAAACAAACAAGTCACTGAAATTCAGTAAACAGCACTGGTCCTACATCTAGTAGAGAAAGAAATTAACTTAAGTAAAAATCAAATTGTTACCAGTACTCCTTAAAACAGCTAAGGTCATCCAAAACAAGAAAAACCTAAAAAACTGTCACGGCCAAGAGGAGCCTAAAGAAACACGACAACTAAATGTAATGTGATATCCTGAATGGGAGCCTGGAACAGAGAAAGGACATTAGGTAAAAACTAAAGACATGTAAAAAAGCATGGCCTTTAGATAATGTATGAGTATTGATTAATTAATTGTGACAAATGAATCATTAATGTTAGATTGTAATATTAGGGGAAATTGGGTATGGGTACATGCAAACTGTACATCTTTACAACTTTAAATCTCAAACCAGTCTAATAAAAAGGTTTGTGTAAAACAATTGAATTGTTAGAAGATAAGACCTCGGGCAATTGCAAAGGGAAATGTTAGGAATGACAGTGTTTTGAGAAGCCCTCTTGGTCCTCGGCTGGCTGCGAAGGGCCCGGAACAAGTATTGATAGCAACCATAATGTAGAAGTTCACTGATGATTATTATTTATCTAAAACAACTGTGGGAAAGGAGGCCCTCTTTTTAAGAAACAGATTTTAAAGTAGCCTATAAGAAGAGGCAATAGAAATAGTTACTGAGACATAGGACTGAAGATATTCATTGCAAGCATTATGGAGGTTGCATCATTAAATAATGCTGACAATTCAACACTAGGGTGGCAGAAATTCAGGGCTCAAAGGAGAGATAAAAATTAAGAGCGTTCAAATATATTAAAAGGGACAGATACCTTCCATGATTGAGCTGGCCACTATTGCAATTTTTCAAACAACACAAAAACACACAGAAAAAGTAAATGGAGGATGAAACGGTATAATTTGGTGACTTTTCTATCCAGTACAAAACTGACAAACTTGTTGCTGTTATTCCATTTGTGGAATTCAGTTTATTCTCACAGGTGGAAAATTTGGCATATCTCTCATAGATTGACTGACATCTTAGCAAGGTTGACACAAAGATTCTTTCTGTTAACTTTCCTTCCCTCAGATGTCTCTGAGACCTTGTGTGATATCTGGCATTATTGTGTTGAGTTTCAAAACATAGTTTTGTCTGTGATAACTTCTAGTAGCTGAATAATGGTTTGTTTTCTAAGTTCCATGGATATAGGGTAAATACTGTGATAATATTGTGTATCTTATTAAATTTTTTGATCTTTAAAAAATGTAGCTTATGACAGACTTACCAATAACTATATTCTGTCTTAAGTTACCAAAAGAATTACCAAGGTTGGAGCTGCTGAAGGCTCCTTCTCCCCAGCATTAAGAATCCACCCTGTTGAGAATGAGGGGAATAACACATTGAGGAGAATACATTTTGGGTTATTAATTTTGTGGAGATTTTAACTCACAACGATGAATAAAATTTAATTTCTTTTGACTGTAAGTTACAAGAAAATTTCTGTTTTTATACTGTAATTTCCTACTAGGAAATTTTAATGAGAGTTGTATTTAGATTGGGACATATCTGTAGTTCTATTTTATAATTAGATAATCTTAATGTCATTTAATCATATTGTAGGTCTTCTAATGAGAAGTACTAAACATCATGTCTGTACATCATTTGGGATGGGAATAGAAAAATGTACCAAATTTTCTCATAAGGTAACAATGTGGCTTGAAATTAAAACATTGCCAAGACATTTAAAATCCAAAATATCTCCCATTATTGTGGAGAAAAGAAAGCATATTATGATGGCAGGTGGATACTTTACCCATCTATTAAAACTCAATATTGGAATGATAGTTTAAAATTTATGAAACACACTATCATTTGATTGATTCATCTGTCTGTTCATTCACCCAACCATCCATCCTTCACTTGCCTTGAATACATGCCTTATGCTTCCCAAGCAAATAAAGATCTTACTTCAAGCTTTGATTGGCACTAAGCAAGGAAGAAATATTTGAATGAGTAAAAAAATGAATGAGTTCTGTGATAAATGCAAATCATTATACTTATAAAAATGTTTAAATGTAACATAAGAGTAACAATGCCGGTTGGGCTCTTTGGCTCACACCTGTAATCCCAGCACTTTGGGAGGCCGAGGCGGACGGATCACGAGGTCAGGAGATCGAGACGGTGAAACCCTGTCTCTACTAAAAGTACAGAAAAAAAAAAAAAAAAGCCTGGCATAGTAGCAGGCGTAGTAGTAGTAGCCCCAGCTAGTAGGAAGGCTGAGGCAGGAGAATGTCGTGAACTTGGGAGGTGGAGGTTGCAGTGAGCCGAGATCACGCCACTGCACTCCAGCCTGGGCGACAGAGCGAGACTCTGTCTCAAAAAAAAAAAAAAAAAAAAAGAGAGAAAAAAAGAAAAAAGATTAACAATGCCATTTTACATTTATATTGTGCTATAGGAAAGTATTTTAAAGAATAAGAATCTGCTACTTAATAAAATCACTGACTTTTTAAATATTACACTGCTAGTATACAGTGGACAATGAATCACAAACTGATTTTTCTCTCCTAAACAAGGGCACTTTCCACTACACAGCACTACATCCTTGAAAAACATGGTTCTAGTTTCCTTTTTTATGCTCCTAGTTTTCTTTTAAAAGAAATTTGTGACGATATAAATCCAAAGGGAAAGACTTTTTGACTGGTAGTAATTTACATTTCTTAAGGTGCCCCCAGTGGCGACATAATTGATTTTGTTGCCATTGATTAAAAGTCACATTAAGTTTAGAACTGTCAGCTGAGACTAGAGATAATATTTTCATAATGTCTTTTAATAAACATGAAAGAAATGATTTCATTGCATTCATAAATTTGATTAATGATATTTTCTCAGGACCAAAATAAATGAACTGCTCGTTTCCAGGCCTAATTACTCAATTACAGGTATATTCTCCTGTAATACATATATTGGATAGGAGAAGAATCCTCCAGATATGGGCCTAGCAAATGACTAAAAATGGATTCTGTTAATAATTTCAGAAATCTCAAAATGATTATGTTTTTATCTAACAAAATAGGGAACAATATTTTGATTCAGATTTTCACCACAGTGAAAATATGAATATGATTTGTTTTTATCTAAAAATAATTTTTTCTAAACAGGTATTTCTGAGCTCTTGACATGCCTCCTCCACTACTTTTTCTCCTTGAGTCTTCCACACCTCAGTAAATGGCAATTCATTCTTCCAGTTTTTATTCTGAAAATTTTGATTTAATACTTGACTCCTGTCTTTCTCCCCTATCAGTTCCATCTTCAAAGTAAAACCAGAATTTAGCCACTTTTCATCATCACCACTGGTCTCCCTGGTTCTGCTTTTGCCCATGTTTAGATGATGTCAATCCAGTGCCCTGTGTGGTCACATGATGTCATTCTTTCACTCAAAAATCTCCAAGTTTCTCCTCTAATTGGAGCAAAACCTAAAGTTTTAACTATGGCCAACAAGACTCTGTATGCCCTGTTTTTACCCTTCCAGTTACACTACCACCCCAAATTATCTCTCTGACTCTAAATACTGCCTTCCACCATCTAGTGAATGATTATAAATTTATATAGCCTCAGTATCCATCTTTGAATGCAGGATTAACTTTCTCATACCAGAGGCAGGGCTCAGTCACCCTTGACAGTTTCCAGTTTTACATCACATCAAATGGCTAAAGTTGGTGGCCAGGGATAAGAATTTAGAGGCATCACTTCAGGCTAGCAAACTGGGCTCCCTGCTTTCCTGCTGTTCATATTTTTAAAGAGATATTTCATGGATTTGCCTGTGAACCTAAAGTGACCCACACCCTATTCCCTTACATATACTGCTAGCTGCCATGTGCTCTTCTCTCTCTGCCTGACTCTTCATTCCTGCTTCACATGACCTGGGGATGAATGACTACTCTCCTGACTCATTATGCCCTCCTTTGCCCAGGATCTATATAACTAAATATATTTGGACTAGTTTCTAATTGGGGTGATGTATTAAATTGGTGCCTTCCATCTGAAGAACCAGGAATTACCCCAGCCTGGGTTTCTCCCTGGATTCATGGAGGAACACAAATTCGGGCTCCCAGTGCCAAAGTGATGGTCAGGCAGGCATAAACTGGACATGAGTCAGTCAAGAGCCATAAGAGTAAACAAGTTTCCTGTGTGAGGGACATCTGCTCTCCCCCACAAAACTAGACATTAGGCTGTCTGTAAGGCAAAAGAAGTATCCCATGATTACTCTAAACAGTCATCTTCAGTACTTTGTCATTTCCCTCTAGGGCAGAGTTGCTAGCTGCTCTGGTACTGGAACCCCAATTTGGCTGGAGGCTCCCAAAACACACCATCACTCCACTTCAGTTATTTTGGGATACTTAGGCATGCTCTATAATCAGGTCTTTGCAACTGTTATTCTCTTTGCCTTGGACATTTCCCCCCAGATTTCTGTATGACCAACTACTTCTCTTCTTTCAAATCTTTACAATAAATTCTCTGGATATGCTATCTAAGACATCAACACATTATCCCTAAAAATAGAGTTTTAAAAATTCTGTTTTTAAAATCCAGGTACTTGGAGACCAGCCTGGGAAACATAGGGACAAGCTCTCTACAAATACTTTTTTTTTTTTTTTTTAATTAGTCGAGCATGATGACGAGGGCCTGTGGTCCCAGCTACTTGGGAGACCAAGGCAGGAGAGTCACTTGAGCCTGGGAGATTGAGTCTGCAATGAGCTGTGATCACACCACTGCACTCCAGCCTGGGCAACAGAGTGAGACCCTGTTTCTAAAAGAAAAAAAAATATCAAAATCAAATAAAATCCAAGTAGTGCACAGGAATATAGTGCTTGGCACATGGTATGTTTTTAATAAATATTTGTTAAATAAAATTTACCTGTGTTCTTCTTGGCAGCATACATGTAAAAATAATTAAATTTACAAAAGCATAAGAAAGGGCAAATCAAATTGTCAAGTGCTTAAAGTTCCCACTGACCCTAATGACTGCCTTTCATTTGGTAGCCCTATTTACAATACTTATGTGATCGTGTTTATAAATAGTCCCCAGACCTAGTGTGAATGTAGGTCACATGTCCTGAGGTCAGGTTTTCCTCCCAACATGTGTTTCTACCCCAGTCGTGAAATGGAGCCATACCTCTGAGAGCTGGACCTAAAAAGATGCAATATACCAAGGCCTAAAAGTGTTTCCATGTAACCTCTAGTTTCTATTGCTGACCTAGCTTTGATTTTGAAAAATGACCTCAGGCTCCTTATCCGGGATCCATATACTTTTGGAGGACACAACCAACTGTATCACAATTAAATTTTATGATACAGTTGGGCCAAATTTTCTCATTTCAACTGACTATCAATGTGTGCTGTACTTCCCAACAGCATCTGCTGTGGTCTTGTTCCTGGGGTACTACCACATCCTCTCTTGGGCCCTGAGCCAGCACATCACTCTCCTCTGCATCATGTACTCTGCCAGTCTCCTCACAGTTCTTCGGTGCTCCAGCCTCTCTCCTATGGTGAGAATAATGTAATCAACTAACAGTCTCCAGCTTTTTTCCACTTCAGGAAGTTCTTCTTTGGAAGTATGGTCTTCTTGATTGCATACCGGGTGCTACATGTCCACCTCTCAATTATTCCATAGGGAATTACTCCCTGTCCTGGAGTTGAAAGTACATGAATGTTTGTATCCCAGTGTTTGGACTGTTGGGAGGCATCAGCTCTACTTTCTGTGAGAAGCAGAAAATAATGACCTTACAGTTCTCAGCTTGGGGGAATTTGGTGCTCAATATGCACGCTTCTGACACTCCAGTATCTACCCTTATGTTCCAAACCCTGCTTGCTGATAAATAAGAGTTCCAGCTTTCAGACACATGTGCAGAATTTATTGACCCCTGTAGCTCTATATTATTTACCCTAGGTCAGACAGTTCTTTTAGAATTGCAAACTAGAATCAAGTATTAACCAAGTCTCTGATTAACAGGTTAAACACCTATGCACCTATGTCTTGGGATGGATACAAAGGGAAGGGTATATAAAAGCAGAATTATTTTTATAAACATCCACTTATTAAACAATGTTTACCATATGCCTATTATATGTCAATCACTATTCTAGAGAGTTGACAGTATACAAACAAACCCTCTGGCCTCCTGAAAGCTACATTCTATTGAGAGATAAAGACAATCAATAAGTGAATAAACTACATGTATATTAGATAACTAGAAATAATAAGAAAAAAGGCAAGAGACAGAGATAATGCGTTGATGTCTTAGATAGCTTATCAAGAGAATTTATTGTAAAGATTTCAACGAAATCATGCAGAAATCTGGGAGTGGGGGGTGACGTTCAAGACAAAGAGAATATCAGTTGCAAAGACCTGAGGATAGAGCATGCCTAAGCATCTCACAATAACTGAAATGGAGTGATGGTGTGTTTTGGGAGCCCCAGCCAAATTGGGGTTCCATTACCAGAGCAGCTAGCAACTCTGCCCTAGTGGGAAATGAAAAAGTACTGAAGACAGAATTTAATAATATATTATTTAATATATATGGGGAAAGTAGGAATACAGGAAATAAGTTTATTTTTATATAATCTAGAATATACATATTAGACACATAATTGTATAAAATATATACTAAAATACATAAAAATATCTGTTTAAAAATATTTTTCATCTCAAGGCACTTTAAAAAGCAGATTCATAGTTTCTAAAGAGTGTCTCTTTAGCTACAATCTCTCTTTTTATTTCTAAAGTCTCTCAGTATCCTCAATATTGAGTGGGTCCTGAAACTTCACCTCTAGCTTTAATATTGTTAGTTATATTGGCCTGAGTGCCATCTTTTGTCAAGATCTAGACAATAAGTTTACTAAGAGCCAAGTCAGAGCCCTTTATCTACATTTGACTGACCTTCTCCTCTCCTCTTACGGTATCTCACTAAACATTTGTTTTGCATGTTTATAGGAATGCAGATACGGGTAACTTTGCTACTTTCAGGCACAAACCATTAAAAACAATTTTAAATCATTTCATTCATGATATATTTTTAAAGACTCTTAGTTGTTGAAACTGCTATATTGCTATAATTTTTGAGAAGTGCAGTGAAACTCCCATCCTCATTCAAAAGATAGAATTCATTAAGAATTATTTGAAAATAATTTAAGTTTTGAGAATCTGGCTTTGAAAGACCAGGAAGGGAAAGAAAGAGGTCAGAAATATTTTCCTTAGAATAAAGTTTTGTTCATATCCTTAAAAACACCAAAGCCAATAATTTTAATGGATTAAATTTTAAATCTTATTTTTATAAAAGTAGAATAATTCATATTAAGTTTTTAAAAATTATTTATATTTTAAGTAAAATCGTAGTATATTGTAGTTCCCTTTCAAAGGATATTTGTTAAAATAAACTGAAGATATTAACCATTCTCTGATCTTGAGTTTACCCTATAGATGCTATCTGTGGTTTTGATCTTTCAGTTATTTGTGTTTTCTTTGTACTTTGCACCTTTTTTTCCCTCACTATGAGGGTTCAAGAATCCTGATATGAATGGTACAAACATGCAAGTGGATAATGTCACAATATGTTTTCTGACCTAATATTATTTCTGGCAATACTTCTTAAAAATTTTTTTAATACAAAGATATATATAGTCATGAAACTTTTTAGCTTGAATGTGTTAAAACTTCAGACAAATTAAAAGTAACAGAGTTTAATTGAGCAAGAAAAAAATGATTCATGAGTTGGGCAGCCTCCCAATCACTGCAGATTCAGAGAGACTCCAGAGATGCCTTCAGAGAGACTCCAGGGATGCTTTGTGGTCAGAACAAATGTACAGACAAAAAGAAAAAAAAAAAGAAAGAAAGAAAGTGACATACAGAATTTGGAAGTGAGGTGCAGAAACAGCTGGATGGGTTACAGGTTGGTGTTTGCCTTATTTGAACACAGTTTGAACACTCAGCAGTGTATGAGTATTTGGGATTGGCTGATGGGGTTGGTCAAGACTCAGCTATTGTTACAAGCGCATACTCTTAAGTTAGGTTTTTGATCTTGTCTACCTATTAATGTAGGTGATGGTTCATCCACAAGGACTTAAACATAGAAGTACGAAGTCCTTCTGTATTTCTCAGGCTAAATATAGCCTGAGAAGGGCTATATTTAGTTTGCTTTAATAAATGCAATACATATCTTAAAATAACTTGGGGTTAATTAGAAGCTGTGAGTTTTTGTTTTTGTTTTTGTTTTTTGAATCAATGTCTCACTGTTTCCCAAGCTGGCGTGCAGTGACATGATCATGGCGCACTACAGCCTTGACTGTCTGGACTCAAGTGATCCTCTTGCCTCAGCCTCTCAAAGTGCTGGGATTGCAGCTGTGAGCCACCATGCTTGGCAACTATTTATTTTTTGAAGTCCACTGACTTAATGATTCACGAGATGGGCAGGCTCCCAATCAAAGCCTCCCAATTAAAATCTAATTTAAAACCATTTCCTAATATTTGAACCTTGGCTTCTGTATAGTTTCTGGTTATTGACGTTTCTAATTGCTTCTCATTCACTTTGTATGTTTTACATCAGAATTTCTCATTCAAACACTTTCCTTTTCTTTTTATGTGGAGAACTGCCTCTGTAGTTCACTCAGTCTTTCTACTTAGTACTGGACAGATTGTGATTTAAAGTGGCTTAGAACCTGCCATCCTGTATTATTGCATCACTGTCCCTATTGTGTGCTTGATTGTTTCCTAGATTCTATAATTTCTTCTTTTTTTGATTTCTAATCCAATATTGCCATTGTACACCTTCAGGTATAGCCTCCCAATATGGTGTGCATGGCAGAAAAAACATCT
This sequence comes from Homo sapiens, assembly GCF_000001405.40. NCBI lineage: Eukaryota > Metazoa > Chordata > Mammalia > Primates > Hominidae > Homo > Homo sapiens. The sequence continues at coordinate 86,621,089 of NC_000007.14, read as the reverse complement.
GATCATTTTTATTTATAAAAATGTTTTTAATCTTAACCTCACACTTGTTAATGAATTTGGCTGGAATCCTAGACTGAAAATTATTTTCCCATAGACCTTTAAAGGAATTGATATAATTGTTGTCTGACCTTTAATATTGCTGATAAAAATTCTAATGCCAGTCTAACTCCTTATTCTTTGAGTGATCCATTGTTTTATAATGTTTGTTGTTTTGTTTTGAAAACTTTTAGTTATTCTTGGTGGTCTGAAAGTTCACAATAATACATTTATTTTGGTGAGTTTAAAAATCCATCCTTGTTGGAATTTAGAATATATATCTTGAAGATTCTCATCTCTAATTAGCTCCAAAATGTTTTTGTCTTTTTTTCTTTGCTTAATTTCTCAAAGATTTTGTATTTCTTCTCCCTTCCTCAAAGTAATATTAACAGGGTAGCTGAATTCCTGGATTAAACCACTAGATATCCTATCAATTCTCTCAGTTAAAAAAAATCTTTATTTTACCCTTCCTATTGAACATTTTATTTCTTTTTTTCAAAAAGTATTACTTTCTTGTGGTAAGAAGACTTAAAATGAGATATACCGTCTTAAAAAATGTTAAGTATACATTATTATGTTAGGTATAGGTACAATGTTGTACAGTAGATCTCTAGAGCTTATTCTGCTTGCTTAACTGAAAATTTATGCCTGTTGATTAGTAACTCCCCATTTCCTGGAGACAGGATAGTCTGTTCAATAAAGTATGTTAGGAAAACTGGATATCCACATGCAGAATAATAAAATTAGTCCCCTATCTCACACCATATACAAAAATCAACTCAAAATGAATTAAAGACTTAAACACAAGACCTGAAACTGTATAACTACTAGAAGAAAACATAGGGGGGTGGGCACAGTGGCTCATGCCTGTAATTCCAACACCTGTGAAAGCCAAGGTGGGCAGAATTCTTAAGCTCAGGCATTCGAGACCAGCCTGGGCAACATGGTGAGACCCCATCTCTAACAACAACAAAAAAAAATTAGGTGGACTTGGTGGCACGTGTCTGTGGTCCCAGGGACTTGGGAGGCTGAGGTGGGAGGATTGCTTGAGCCTGGGAGGTAGGGGTTATAGTGAGCTGTTATAGTGAAGTTATAGTGAGGGGTTTATGCCTCCAATGTACTCCAGCCTGGGTGACAAAGTGAGACTCCCTCTGAAAAAAAAAATTAAAAAGAAAGAAAACATAAGGTAAAAAGTCCATAATATTGGTCTGAACAAAGATGTTTTGGCTATGGGCCCAAAAGCACAGGCAACAAAAGCAAAAATGGGCAAATGAGATTACATGAAACTAAAAAGCTTCTGTATAGCAAAGGAAACAATCAACAGAATGAAGAGATAACCTATAGAATGAGAGAAAATATTTGCAAGTAGTACATTGGATAAGAGGTTAATATCCAAGATAGATAGGGAATTCAAACAACCCACTAGCAAGAAAACAAATAACCCAATTAAAAAAATGGGTAAAGAAACAGAATAAGCCTTTCTGTAAAAAAGACATACAAGTAGCCATCAGGTTTATGAAAAAATGCTCAGCATTACTAATCATCAGGGAAAAGTAAATTAAAATCACAATGAGATATTGCCTCACTTCTGTTAGCATGGGTATTATCAAAAAGATGAAAAAGAGCAAGTGTTGGTGAGGGTATGGAGAAAAGGAAACCCTTGTACACTGTTGGAGGGAAAGTAAATTAGTATAGCTGTTATGGAAAACATCATGTACATTCCTCAAAAAAATTAAAAATGGAACTATTATGTGATTCAGCAGTTCTACTACTGGGTATATATCCAAAGGAAATGAAATCAGTATGTGGAAGAGGTATCTGGACTCCCATGTTCACTGCAGCATTAATCACAATAGCCAAGATATGGAATCATTCTCAATGTCCATCAACAGATAACTAGATTTAAGAATGTGGAATATATACACAATGAGATACTATTCAGCCTCAAAAAAGAAGGAAAACCTGTCATTTGTGACAACCTGGACAAACCTGAACATTATATTATGTTAAAACATAGGGGGGTGGGCACAATGGCTCACGCCTGTAATCCCAACACTCGTGGAAGCCAAGGCAGGCAGATTACCTAAGCTCAGGAGTTCGAGACCAGCCTGTGCAATATGGGAAACCCCATCTCTACCAAAAAAAAAAAAAAGGAAAAATTAGCTGGACCTGGCATGTGTCTGCAGTCCCAGTGACTTGGGAGGCTAAGGTGCACAGAAAGACAAATACTACATCATATTTATTGTGGAGTGTTAAAAAAATTTGAACTCCTAGGAACAGAGAGTAAAGTGATGGTTACTAGCGGATGGAGAGTGGGGGGAGTGAGGAGATATTAGTCAAAGATTTTATTAATTAAAAAAATAAAATTATTATTGAACAAAATTTTATGTAGACAGAAATAAGTTCAAGAGATCTATAGTATAAAATGTTGACCACAGTTAATAATGCTATATCATATACTTGAAAATTCCTAAGAGAATAGATTTTAATCACCACAAAAAATAAGGATGTGAGGTAATGCATATGTTAAATAACTTGATTTAGCCATTCTACAATGTGTACAGATATGAAAACATCATGTTTATACCTTAAATATATACACTTTTTAGCTTCAATTAAAAATAAATAAAAAATGGTTAATAAAAAAGTAACTCCCTATTTTTCCTCTCCCTCTAGCCCTGGGAACCATTATTGCACACTTTGATTCTATGAATTTGACTATTTTAGTTAGACACCTCATAGTATTTGTCTTTTGTGACTGGCTTACTTCAATTCGCATAATGCCCTCAAAGTTACACGTTATCACAAATGGCAAGATTTCCTTTCTTTAAAGTCAAAATAGTATTCCATTGAATGTATATATCACATTTTCTTTATGCTTTCATCCGTGGATGTACAATTAAGTTGTTTTCACATCTTGGTTATTGTGAATATTGCTGCAATAAACATTGAAATGCATATGTCTCTTCAAGATCTTGATTTCAGTTATTTTGGATATATGCTTATATGTGGGCTTGCTAGATCACATGGTATGACAATTTTAATATTTTTAGAAACCTCCATATAGTTTTCCATGGTTGCTACAATAAAGACATACCTGAGACTGGGTAATTCACAAAAGAAAGAGGTTTAATTGACTCACAGTCCAGCATGGCTGGGGAGGCCTCAGGAAATTTACAATCATGGCAGAAGGGGAAACAAACACGTCCTTCACGTGGCAGAAGGAGATAAAATAATGACTGCCCATCAAAGGGGGAAGCCCCTCATAAAACCGCCCAATCTTTTGAGAACTAACTCACTACTATAGAACAGGATGAGAGAAACTCTCCCCATGATTCAATTTTCTCCACCTGGTCCCTCCCATGACACATAGGGATTATGGGAACTACAATTCAAGATAAGATTTGGATGGGGACACAGCCAAACCATATCATTCTGTCCCCGGCCTCTCTCAAATCTCATGTCCTCACAATTCAAGACACAATCACACCCTTCCGACATTCCACCAAAGCCTTAACTCATTCCAGAATTAACTCAAAAGTCCCAGTCCAAAGTCTCATCTGAGACAAAGCAAGTGTCTTCTGCCTAAGAACCGGTAAAATCAAAAACAAGTTAGTTACTTCCTAGATACAATGGAGGTAACAGGCATTTGGTAAATACACCCATTCCAAATAGGAGAAATTGTCCAAAACAAAGAGATACAGGCCCATGGAAGCCCAAAATGCAATAGGGCAATCATTAAACCTTAAAGTTCCAAAATGATCTCCTTTGACTCCGTGCCTCACATCCTGGTCACACTGGATGTGGTCTTGTATAGCCTTGGGCAGCTCTGCTCCTGTGGCTTTTCAGGGATGGCCCCTCTCCTGGCTGCTTTCACAGGCTGGCATTGAGTGCCTGCAGCTTTTCCAGGCACATGAGCTGTCAGTGGATCTACCATTCTGGGGTCTGCAGGATGGTGACCCTCTTCTCACAGCTCCACTAGGCAGTGTCACAGTGGGGACTCCATGTGAGGGATCTGACCCCACATTTCTCTTTCACATTGCCCTAGGAGAGGTTCTCTGGAAATCCAGGCATTTCCATACATCCTCTGAAATCTAGGTGGAGGTTCCTAAACCTCAATTCTTGACTTCTCTGTACCCACAGTCTCAACACCACATGGAAGCTGCCAAGGCTTGGGGCTTGCACCTTCTGAAGCCATGATGTGAGCAGTAGCTTGGCTCACTTTAGCCATAACTAAAGCTGCTAGGAGGCAGTCCTGAGGCTGCACACAGCAGAAGGTCTGGGGACCTGAGCCAGGAAACAATTTTTCCCTCCTAGGCCTCTGGGCCTGTAATGGGAGGGATTGCCACGACTTCTCTGACATCCCCTGGAGACATTTTCCTTATTGTCTTGGTGATTAACATTGGGTTCCTCATTACTTATGCAAATTTCTGCAACTGGCCTAAATTTTTCCCCAGAAGATGGGTTTTTCTTTGTTACTGCATCCTCAGGCTACAAATTATCCAAACTTTTATGCTCTGCTTCCTCTTGAATGTTTTGCCACTCAAAAATTTCTTCCACCACATACCCTAAATAATCTCCCTTAAATTCCAAGTACCACAGATCTCTAGGGCAAGGGCAAAAACCCACCAGTCTCTTTGCTAAAGCACAGCAAGAGTTACCTTTGCTCCATTTCCCAACAAGTTCCTCATCTCCATCTGAGACCACCTTAGCCTGGATGTCATTGTTCATATCACTATCTATCAGCATTTTGGTCAAGCCATTCCACAAGTCTCTAGGAAATTCCAAACTTTCCCACATCTTTCTGTCTTCTGAGCCCTCCAAGTTTCTAGCAAGTTCCAAACTTTCCCACATTTTCCTATCTCTGAGCACTCTAAACTGTTTCAGACTCTGCCTCTTACCCAGTTTCAAAGTCGCTTCCACATTTTTGGATATCTTTACAGCAGTGCCCAACTACTCAGTACCAATTTACTCTATTAGTTCATTCTTATGCTGCTAATGAAGACATACCTGAGGCTGGGTAGTTTATAAAGGAAAGAGGTTTAATTGACTCACAGTTCAGCATGGCTGGGGAGGCATCAGGAAACTTACAATCATGGTGGAAGGGAAGCAAACATGTCCTTCTCCACATGGTGGCAGGAGAGAGAAGAATGAGTGCCCAACAAAGGGGGAAGCCCTTTATAAAACCATCAGCTCTCATGAGAACTAACTCACTATCATGAGAACAGGATGGGGCAACTGCCCCCATGTTTCAATTATTTCCACCTGGTCCCTCCCGCTACATATAGGGATTATGGGAACTGCAATTCAAGACGAGATTCAGGTAGGAACACAGCCAAACCATATCAATGTACAAAGATTCTAACTTCCTCACATTTTCATCAACACTGTCTTTTGCCATCTTGATAGGTTTGAGGTGATATATCATTGTGAGTTTAACTTCTATTTCCTAAATTATTAGTCACTAAGCATGTTTCATATACCTGCTGGCCATTTGTATGACTTATTTGGAGAAATATCTTTTCACATCCTTAGCCCATTTTTAATTAATTTATTAGTTTTTTGATCTTGAGTTGTAGAAATTCCTCAGATATTTTGAAGATTAACCTCTTGTTAGATATATTGTTTGAAATATTTTCTTTCATTATACTAGTTGCTTTTTTACTCTGTAGGTTGTTTCCTTTACTGTGAAGAAGCTTTTTAGTTTCATGTAGTCTCATTTGTCTATTTTTGTTTTTGTTGCCTGTGCTTTTGGTGTCATATTCATGAAATCATTTACCAGGCCAATATCATAAAGATTTTCCTAATGTTTTTTTTCTGGGAGGTTACATTTTTAAGTCTTACATTTCAGCCTTTAATCCACTTTGAGTTTTTTGTAATGGTATAAAATCAGGATGCAATGTTCTTATTTTGCATATTCCAGTTTACCCAACACCATTTGTTGAGGATACTATACTTCACCCACTGTGTATTTTTGACATGCTTTTTGAAGATCAATTGATTGTATACATTTGGATTTATTTCTAGGCTCTCTATTCCATGACATTAGTCTAGTCTGTGTGCCTGCATTTAAACAAGTACCACACTGTTTTAATTACTGAAGCTTTCTAAGATACCCTGTAATCAGAAACTGTGATGCCTCCAGCTTTGTTCTTCTTTCTCAGGATTGATTTGGCTATTCATGATCTTCTGTATTTCCATATTGTCTTAGTCTTTTCAGGTTGCTATAACAAAATTCATAGACTGGGCAGCTTATAAACAACAGAAATTTATTTTTCACATTTACGGAGGCTGGGAAGTACAAGATCAAGTTGCTGGCAGATCTGGTGTCTGGTGAGAACCTGTTTCATTTATGTCACCTTCTTGCTATGTCCTAATGTGGTGGGAGGGGTGAACGAGTTCCTATGGGTCTATTTTATAAGGGCACTGTATTAGCCCATTTTACACTGCTATAAAGATACCATCTAAGACTTGGTAATTGATAAAGGAAAGAGGTTTAATTGAGTCACAGTTCCACATGGCTGGGGAGGTCTCAGAAAACTTACAATCATGGTAGAAGTTGAAGGGGAAGCATGGCAAGTCTTACATGGTGACAGAAGAGAGAGCGAGCAAAGGGCAAGTGCCACACTTTAAAACCATCAGATTTTTTGAGCGCTCACTCACTGTCACAAGAACAGCATGGGGGAAACCACCCTCATAATCTAATCACCTCCCACCAAGTTCCTCCCTTGACACGTGGGGACTACAATTTGAGATGAGATTTGGGTGTGGACACAGAGCCAAACCATATCAGGCACTAATTCCATTGATGAAGCCTTCATCCTCAACTCCAAAAAGCCCCTCCTCCTCAAGCCATCATATGAGTGATTAATTTCAACATGAATTTTGGGAGGAGTTAAGCATTCAGACTAAGTATTAGTTTGTTCTCACACTGTTAATAAAGACATATCCAAGACTGGGCAATTTATAAAGGGAAGAGGTTTATTTGACTTACAGTTCAGCATGGCTGGGGAGGCCTCAGTAAACTTACAATCATGGTGGAAGGGGAAGCAAACACGTCCTTCTTCACATGGTGGCAGGAAGGAGAAGTGCTGAGTAAAGTGGAGAAAACCCTCTTATAAAACCATAAGATCTCGTGAGAACTCACTCACTCTTATAAGTACAGCATGGGGGAAACCACCCCTATGATTCAATTACCTCCCATTGAGTCCCTTCCACAACACGTGGGATTATGGGAATTACAATTCATTATGAGATTTGAGTGGGGACACAGCCAAACCCTATCAGATTATAATACATATGAACAGTAGAATTGATTTTCTATTTCTGTAAAAAAAATTCATTGGTATTTTAGTACAGAATTCATTGAATTTGTAGATCACTTTGAGTAGTATCGATATTTTAACAATATTAAGTCTTCCATTCATGAATACAGAATTTCTTTCTAATTGTTTTTTCTTTAATTTAATTAATATTTTGTAGTTTTCAGTACACAAGTTTTTCACTTCCTTGATTAAGCTTATTCCTTAGTATTTTATTCTTTTTGGTGCTAATATAAATGTGATTTTTAAAAAATTTCCTATTCAGTTAGTTCATTTATAGTGCATTATAAAAGGCATCCAAACTGAAAATAAATTGTTCCTGTTTTCAGAAGATATAATCATATACACAAAACCTTAAAGACTCTATAAAATGGCTGTTGGAGTTAACACATTTAGTAAAATGTCAGGATACAGAATCAACATACAAAAATCAGCAGGTAGCTGATTTTTGTCTGCTTACTCTGTACTCAGCCAGTGGTGCAGAGCTATGGGATATACCATCCCAAGATATCATCTTCATTTTCTCCCAGGTGGTTAATCTGTGCTGAACCCAGCAGAGTTTCAAGAATGACAAGTATGTTGCCAGGTTTTTAGGCATCCCAGAGAAGTTGGGATATTGGATACATGGATCAATACTTTCCCTCCCTGGGGGAAAGCTGAGAGCTGATATATATTATATAATATTTAATATTATATAATATATAAATATAAAATATAATATTTTATAGTAATATATAAAATTACTATATAAAATTATATAGTAATTTTAATTTTCAAACATTTGACTTAATTGCAAAGTATTATAATTTGACTTATTGTATTTTCTTGAGTCTCACTGAGGATGGTGATTTTTTAGAATATTGTTTTCTTAGGTTATATCTGTTTCCTCCTTGGTCAGTTTTCTTATTTATTTATCTTATTATTTGTGTTTCAAGTCAAGTATATTTCCCCCCACAAATGTCTAGCGATTCCTTTTTGCTAATTCATTTAAGAGTGAAAGAATTATATGCTTTGTATAAGTAGGGATTTGTAAACTGGCTGGTTTTACTTTAGAGTGAGTGTACATTAATTTATGAGACCCTAAGCAGTAAAAATTGGAGTACATCACTTTGGATGCCACACCCTTAGTAATTTGCCAACTTCTGTCCATATATTTTATTCCATTCATTTAGTAAATACAGAAACTGCTCAAGTTCAGATAGTTGAAAGGACTCTTAAGACTACACAGGGTATACTCAGGTAAGGCTTTAATAAAAAAGTAAGGGCAATTCTGTATAACAGAAGAGATAAAATGCAGGCAAAGTTGCATCACACTTGAATATTTTCTCAGTTGCACAGGACATGCTTCATTTTCACATTACAAACTATCAAGATATGTACAAGATATCTTGGTTTCAGGGGAACCATGGCACAATTAATGAATGGTCATTTATATCTCACTGGTAGGCATTCTGGAGATACTCACAGAGCTATTCTCATCTAACTGCAAATTAACCTGCTTTATGCAGCACAAAGAACCCCCTGAATTTTAGTTTAAAATAAATACCTGGTTGTCAGTCATTCTGTGTGGGGGTTGCATGTCAGTATACAGAATTTTAAATAAACTATGTTTCAGTCCTAATTTTTATTTCCAATCTATAGTGTTTCACCATTTTTGAGTGCAGAGCTTCTGTGGGGTTTGGTAGACAGTTTGGCTCCTCCCTCAAAAGAAGTTACTACAGAATGCATTCTAGTTTATGTTTCTTCTGTTATGCTTGACTTCTTTTCAACCTCTTCCCATTTTCCAGAGTTTTGTTGAAATCGAAATATTAGTGAGTCAATGCTCTTTTAACTTATTTTCATCTTAATAGATCTACACAGGCAGATGAAATTAATGAATATTTTCAGTCTTCCATCTTGAACAGGAAGTTTGTTTTGCTTTATAAAGGCATTTTATAGTTTTGTTTTTGATTCTGCTTCATGTCAGAAAGAAGAATATGTAGAAAATGGGAACTCCTCAGTACCACTTTAGGAGGGGATTATGTTGTTTATGAAAATCAATATTTGAAATGGTGTTTCTATTATTCCTTAGCAATCACAGGATATGCTGTACATATGTTAGGCACTAAAATAAGCTTAGTAATTTTAAACTTTATGTAATGTTAAACCTTAGTATCTTGCCTGGAACCAAATCCAGCATTGCTTTTTAAACAAATAAATTATTTCAATTTCCAAATAATAAGATTTGCAAATGAATTTTTAGAACAAAAACGATTTGTTACAAACCATTTGTTAAGTTGGCAATTTACCATGTTGCAAGGTTATTTTAAGTAAAAAATGATTTCTATAACAACATGTCTAGGTGGGAATCATAGGTTTCTTTACCATAGGTTTCTTTTATTGACTATAGGGGGTTTTGACATTTAAATCTCATTATTAATTTATAAGAATTATATAACATTATCAGGCTGTTATCCATTTGAAATGTTGGCTATTTAGATGTAAAGAATTTGTTGTGTCCTTAAACTGACCTATCTATGAAAATGTTCAGTCTAGGATTGTTATGGGTAAAGATTCATAGAGCATTTTTTTTTTTGGTGGTTTCTTTTCTTTTGATCTGTTATATACAAAATAGAGATAAAGTTAAAAAACAATATCTACATGTTCTCATTAATTCAAGGTGAGAGGTTACCTGGAAAGAAATGCAATTATCCCCTAGAGGCAGCCAGATTTCTGAGTCCTAAGTTTGCCACTTTGACTGTTTTAGCTATTTTCTTCTGTTTATTTTAGATTTCACTCACACAGAGAGACCATCTGTAGATATACCAGGGTCTAAATATTTAACAAAGATTTTAATTTACTACTAGTTGGAATGAAAAACATATTTCTATATAGATTTAGTTTATCATCATTTTAAATTTTGGTTTTATTTACCTGATGTTCAAAAGTTTTTTTTTTAATTTAAATATATATCTATCTATATCTCTATACATATATTGGAGTAGCCAAAACTACAAGACTAAAGTCTAAAATTTAAAAAATAACCTTAGAAAAGGCAAACACTCACTTTGTGCTGCACATCTTGAAATAAAAAATAATTTTTCTTGGTGAAATACAAATCAGGAATGAGACAGAAAGAGTTATAACATATATATATGAGGGAGTCCTAATTCCTTTAAGGCCATTATTTATGTAAATTAAATGTCAAATTAATAGTTTGCTTTTTGTGAAAATGTGTTATGTATAAAGCAAAAATCCTACTTACTGCTATTCCCTAATCCTTCTCTACCTCTCTTATGTGGTCCACTGTGAGTGTAAATTTCTATTTTTAGATTTTTAGTTTTATGCAAACATGTACATGTATCATTTTTGTACAAAATTAGGATCATAATATACATATTATTCCCCTGATATTTTTTACTTGATATTTCTTATACATCTTCTCATATTAGTACTTATCTATTTTCTTTTAGTTTTTAACAGCTTTATTAAGGTACAATTGAAATAATAAGTTCCACGAGTTTGAAGTGTATAATTTGCTAAGTTGTGACTCTTGTGAAATCATCACTACAATCAAGAAATTAAAAGTATTGTTCACTGCAAAGTTTTCTCATTTCACTTTGTGATCTCACTCAGCATAATTATTCTAAAATTCTTGAATGTTCATGTGCATATCAATGGGACATTCCTTTTTAATGATGAGTAGAATTTCATTGTATGGATATATCACAATTTGTTTATCCATCCACTTGGTGATGGACATTTGGATTATTTTCAGTTTTTAGTTTTACAGAAGCTATGAATATTTCGTTTAAGTGTGTGTATACACATACTTTCATTTCTTTTGAGTAAACACCTAGAAGTGGAATGTCTGATCATGTGGTAGGTAAATGTATTCAGTTTTTAGAAGCTGCCAAATAGTTTTCCAAAGTGATTATGTGTATGAAAGTTCTAGTTCTTTTGCATCCTTTACAGAACTTGATATAGTCAGTCTTTTCAACTTCAGACATTCTAGTAGTGTGTAATAGTGTATCTTTTGGGTTTTGATTGCATTTCTCTAATCACTAATGAAGTTAAGCAAATTTTCATGAGCATATTTGCTCTTCATACATGTTCTTACATTAACAATATTTGAACTTGCAATTTATAAGCACACTACATCTATTCGTTTAGGTTTTTAATTCTCTCAACAATGTTTTATAGTTTTATAGTTTATAGTATAGGCTTTCCATTTCTTTGTCAGATTTACTCTTAAGTATTTCATAATTTTGATGCTATTTGTTATTGATTTTTAATTTCTATTTCTAATTTTACATGGTTAGTATACAGAAATATACTTTTTATATACTGATCTTGCTAAATTCATTTATTCTAATAGTTTTTTATAGATTTCATAGGATTTTTAAATAGATGATCAGATCATTTCCTGATATGAGCGTTTTTATTTCTTTCTCACCAATATGTCTAATTTTGATTCTTTTTTATGTCTTATTGCTCAGGCTAGGTTCATAATCTTAGAGAAATAGTGTTTAATTTTCACAATAAGTGAGTATGATGTAAACAATAAGTTTTTTTTGTATATGCACTTTATGAGGTTAAGAAAGTTTCCTTATATGCCTAGTTCATTGAGAGTTTTATTAGATCTGTGAGACATTGTCCAAAGCTTTGTCTTCAATTATTGATGTTATTACTTGGGTTTTTTTAAAAGTATTTTAATATGGTGAATTATATATTGATATTGATTGATTTCTAAATGTTAAACCAGGTGTTTATTCCTGCACCTGGTTATGGTGTATTGTTTCTCTTAAAAAAGGGATGTTGGCATGAAGTTTTGTTTTGTAGTGACTTTGGATTTGGAATCAGTAATGCTGGATCAAAGAATAAGTTGGAAAGTAATTTCTTCCTCTTTAAATTTTAGTTTTAGTTTAAATTATAATTTTTGGGATTGATATTTTTTCATAAGTTTCTGCTAGCATTCACCATTGAAGTTTTGTGCTGCTTAAGGTGTTTTTTGTGAAAATATTTTTAAGTGCAAATTCCAATAGTTAATTGATATAGGGCTTTTAAAGTTATTTATTTATTCTTGACTAAGCTTTGGAAATTTGAGTTTGTCAAATAATTTGTTGATTCCATCAAAGTTCTTGAATTTATTGGCACAAAGCTATTCATAGTATTCCTTGATTGCCATTTAAAAATTTAAAAAAAATTTAGTGATGTCACTGCTCTTATTCTTCACATTGTTATTTGTGTTTTCTTTTTTTCATGATTAGTCTGACAAGAGGTTCCTCAATTTTATTGGTGTTCTCAAAGTTTTAATTGGATTTTTCTATGATTTTCTTGTTTTCCCCTTTGTTGTTTACCACACTGATCTTTATTTTTGCTTTCTTCTGCATAAGTTGGGGTTTGTTTTCTTTTACTAGTTTCTTTAGGTGAATAATAAAGGCATTGATTTGAGATCTTTATTATTTTTCTGCATTTATTGCTATAATTTTCTTATTTCTCTTTAGCAAAATATTGTCAATTCTGATAGATTGTTCAATAGGTGTCACTAGGTCAGACATCTTTCCCTTTTACATCATCTTAGAAGGAAAATATCTAATATTTCACTGTTAAATATATTAAATGCGAATTTTTGTAGATTGTCACTTATCACATTGAAGAAGTTTCCTTCTGTTCCTAGTTTGCTAAGAGGCTTGGAAATTATAGGGGCTTTTTTTGTCAAATGCCAACTTCATCTATTAAATATTTATATAACATTTTTGGCCTTAAGCTACAAAAGCAGTGAATTATATCAATAGATTATCATATATTAAACTAATCTTGAGTTGCTGTGATATACTCAACTTGAGTATGGTATCTGAGCTCTAAATATTGTTGGATTTGATTTATACTTTTAAGAATTTCTGAATATATTTTTCAAAAACATTTTGTCAATAATCTATTTTCTTGTAATGTTCTTGTCTGGTATTGATAATGAGAAATACTGGCCTCATAAGATGAGTAAATGAGTTGTTAATGTTCATTCTTCTGTATTTTCTGAAATTTTTGTATACAATTAGTATGGATTATTATTTAAATGTTTATTGAGATTTGCTGGTGATGCTGTCTGGGCCTAAAGTATTTTTTGTTTATTCCTCTGTGTGTGTGTATGTGTGTGTTTGTGTGTGTGTGTGTAGGGGAGCTGAGGATATTTGTTTAATTATAATTGAGTTTATTTATTGGCTAGATGGCTATTTAGCATTTCTATTTTTTCTTTAATCAGTTTTGGTGATTTATGCCTTAATAATTTTTTTCATTTAATCTAAGTTTTTAAACTTATTGGGATAAAGTTGTTCATGATATTCCATTATTAGACTGGTAGTTTTAGCAGCATCTCTGAGGAAGTTCCTCTTTTCATTCTTTGTGTTACATTGGGTCTTTCTCTCTCTCTCATTTATTAAAAGTCATTCTAGTGACTTATTAATTCCGTTAATTTTATCAAAGAATTAACTTCTGGTTTTGTTGATTTTCTCTATTATTTTTGTGTTTCTTTTTTCTATTTTAATTTTATTATTTTGTTTATTATGTTTATTTTAGGTTCTATTTTTACTGTTCAAAGATTCTAAACTTGGAAACAAAAGTCATTGCTTTATACCTTTCTACTCATCTAATGTTACATTTAAAACTATACATTTCCTTTAAGAATTGAGTTAGATGCATTTCACTAATTTTAATTTGTTGTGCATTTATTATCATCCAATTAAATATGTTTTCTAATTTCTAGGTAATACTATTTATCCTCAAGTTTTTTGCTAGGTATTATTATAGCTGTACCAGGTTTTTTATGCTTACTGTTTACATAATGAATCTTTTTTAAAAAATCCTTTAGCTTTCAAACCTTTTATGCTTTAATGTTTATATTTAATTTTTGTAAGTACACATTTTATCTCATTTTAGTCATTCCTCTTTCTGTTTTCCAGTGGTGTTTCTTTAGATAACAAATATGCATTTATAATTTTTCACAGTCTATATTAAAAAATCCTATTATGTCATAAAAATTTAAGAAATTTATGACAATATATTTTTCAGTTGTCAGATATTTTACTTCTAAATATTCTATAAACATATTTTTGTTATTATTTTTTATTTAAATGTTAATTATCTTTAGGAAGACAACAAAATATGTGTAAGTATAGAAGTAATTTCAAGGGCTGCTAATAATTACTGACCAATTTACTTTTTATGCTGTTCTCCATTCTTTCTTATAAACTAGATTTCTATGTGATATCATTATCTTTTGGCCTATAGAAATTCTTTTAATTTTTTTATAGTAGAGATTAATTCTTTTACATTTTTACTCTCTAAAAATGATTAATGAGTTGAAATGTTTACCAACAAAACTGACAAAGTAAAAAAAAATATTATTTCATAGATTTCTTAGAAATGGGCACTCTCACACTTCTATAAGGAGTAGAAAAATGGTGGAACTATGCAAACCAAATTAAAAATGTCAGGCCAGGTGCAGTGGCTCACGCCTGTAATCCTAGCACTTAGGGAGGCCAAGGCGGGCGGATTGCCTGAACTCAGGAGTTTGAGACCACCTAGGCAACATGGTGAAACCCCATCTCTACTAAAATATAAAGAAAATCAGCCAGGCGTGGTGGCATGTGCCTGTAGTCTCAGCTACATGGGAGGCTGAGGCAGGAGAGTTGTTTGAACCAGGAAGCAGAGGTTGCAGTGAGCCTAAATTGCGCCACTGCACTCCAGCCTGGGCAATAGAGAGAGACTCTGTCTCCAAACAAACAAACAAACAAACAAATGCCTTATCTTCTGTCTTAAATATTAAAACCCTGGAATTTATAAGAACATTTAAATGTGTGTAAAGGTATGTCTACAAGGGTGCACATTGCAGCTTTATTTTCTTTTTTTTGTAGTGAATCTTCTTTTTTTAATTTTATTTTAAGCTCTGAGATACATATGCAGGTTTGTTACATGGGTGAACCTGTGTCATGGGGTTTGTTGTATAGATTATTTCATTACCCAGGTATTAAGCCTAGTACCCATTATTTATTTTTCCTGATCTTTTCCCTTCTCCCTCTGACAGGCCCCAGTGTATGTTGTTTCTCTCTATGTGTCCATTTCTCTCATAATTCAACTCCCACTTTTAAGTGAAAACATGTGGTATTTGGTTTTCTGTTCCTACGTTGGTCTGCTAAGGATAATGGCCTCCAGCTCCATCCATGTCCCTGCAAAGGACATGGTCTCATTCTTTTTTTATGGCTGCATAGTATTCCATGGTGTATATGTACCACATTTCCTTATTCAGTCTATTATTGATGGTCATTCCGTGTCTTTGCTATAGTGAATAGTGCTGCAGTGAACATATGTATGCCTGTATCTTTAAAATAGAATGATTTATATTCCTTTGGGTATATATCCAGTAATGAGACTGCTGGTTTGAATGGTATTTCTGTCTTTAGGTCTATGAGGAATCACACACTGTCTCCCACAATGGTTGAACTAATTTACACTACCACCAACAGTGTATAAGTGTTCCTTTTTCTCCACAACCTCACAAGCATCTGGGTGGTTTTTTTTTTTTTTGACTTTTTAATGACAGCCATTCTGACTGGTGTGAAATGGTATCTCATTGTGGTTTTGATTTGTATTTCCCTAATGATCAGTGATGTTGGGCTTTCTTTCATATGCTTGTTGGCTACATGCATGTCTTCCTTTGAAAAGAGTTTTATCATGTCCTTTGCCCACTTTTTAATAGGACTTTTTTTTCTTGTAAATTCGTTAAAGTTCTTTATGGATGCTGAATATTAGACCTTTGTTAGATACATAGTTTACAAAAAATTTTCTCCCATTCTGTAGGTTGTCTGTTTAATCTGATGACAGTTTTGCTGCACAGAAGCTCTTTAATTAGGTCCCATTTGTCAAATTTTGCTTTTGATGCAATTGTTTTTGGTGTCCTCATCATGAAATCTTTGCCTGTGCCTATGGCCAGAATGGTATTGTCTAAGATGTTTTCCAGAGCTTTTATAGTTTTGGCTTTTACATTTAAGTAAGTCTTTAATCCATCTTGAGTTAATTTTTGTATATGGAGTAAGAAAGAGGTCCATTTTCAGTCTTCTGCACATGGCTAGCCAGTTATCCCAGCATCATTTATTGAGTAGGGAATCCTTTCCCCATTGCTTGTTTTTGTCAAGTTTGTTGAAGATCAGATAGTTGTAGGTGTGTGGTCTTATTTCTGGGTTTTCTATTCTTTTCCATTGGTTTTTGTCTGTATTTTTATACCAATGCCATGCTGTTTTGGTTACTGTATCCCTGTAGGATAGTTTGAAGTCAGGTGGTGTGATGCTTCCAGCTTTCTTCTTTTTGATTAGAATTGCTTTGGCTATTTAGGCTCTTTTCTGCTTCCATGTGAATTTTACAATAGTTTATTCTAGTTTTGTGAAGAATCGCAGTATACATATGTAACAAACCTACATGTTGTGCACATGTACCCTAAAACTTAAAGTATAATAATAATAAAATAAAATAAAATAAAATGAGAATTGAATTAGTTTAAACAAATAAAAAAAGAGGAATAGCATTGAATCTGTAAATTGCTTTGGGCAGTATGTCCATTTTCACGATATTGATTCTTCTTATCCATGTGGATGAAATGTTTTTTCATTTATTTGAATTATCTCTGATTGTTTTGAGCAGTGATTTATAGATCTCCTTGTAGAGATCATTCAAATCCCTGGTTTTAGCTGTATTCCTAGGTATTTTATTATTTTGTGGCAGTTATGAATGGGAGTTTGTTTCTAATTCTACTCTTGGCTTGACTGTTGTTGGTGTATAGGAATGCTAGTTATTTCTGCACATTAATTTTGTATCCTGACAATTTGCTGAAATTGTTTATCAGCTTAAGAAGTTTTTGGGATAAGACTATAGGGTTTTCTATACATAAGATCACTTTATCTGCAAACAGGGATCTTGACTTTCTCTCTTCCTGTTTGGGAGCCCTTTATTTCTTCCTCTTGCCTGATTACCCTGGTCAGAACTTCCAATACTATGTTGAATGGAGTGGTGAGAGAGGACATCCTTGTCTTTTGCCAGTTTTCAAAAGGAATGCTTCCAGGTTTCACCCATTTAATATAATGTTGGCTGTGGGTTTGTCATATGTGGCTCTTATTATTTTGAGGTATGTTCTTTCAATACAGAGTTTATTAAGAGTTTTTTTAAACATGAATGGACGTTGAATTTTATCAAAAGCCTTTTCTGCATCTATTGATATAATAGCGTTGTTTTTGTCTTTAGTTCTGGTTTACATAATGAATCACATTTATTGATTTGTGTATGTTGAACTAAGCTTGCATCCCAGGGATAAAGCCTACTTGATCATGGTGGATAAGTTTTTCAACTTGCTGCTGGATTCACTTTGCCAGTATTTTGTTGAGGATTTCTCCACAATGTTCAGCAAGGATATTAGCTGGAAGTTTTTTTTTTTATTTTGTTTTGTATCTCTGCCAGGTTTTGGTATCATGGTGATGCTGACTTCATAGAGTTAGGAGGGAGTCCCTCTCTTTAATTTTTGGAATAGTTTCAGTAGAAATGGTACCAGTTCTTCTTTGCACATCTGGTAGAATTCAACTGAATCTGTCTGGTCCTAGGACTTTTTTGGTTGGTAGGCCATTTATTTCTGTCCCGATTTTAGAGCTCATTATTAGTATGTTCAGGGATTCCATTTTTTCCTGGTTCAGTTTTGGGAGGGTGTATGTGTCCAGGAATTTTATCCACTTCTTCTAGATTTTCTAGTTTATGTACATAGAGGTGTGGAGTCTAAGTCTCTTTGAAGGTCTCTAAGAACTTGTTTTATGAATCTGGGTGCTCCTATGTTGGGTGCATATATATTTAGGAGAGTTAGATCTTCTTGTATTGAATCCTTTACCATTATATAATGCCCTTCTTTGTCTTTTCTGACCTTTGTTGCTTTTAAGTCTCTTTCATCAGAAACTAGGATTGGAACCCCTACCTTTTTTCTGTTTTTCATTTGCTGGGTAGGCTTTTCTCCATTCCTTTATTTTGAGCCTATGTTTCTCACTGCATGTGAGATGGGTCTCTTGAAGACAGCATTTCAATGGGTCTTGATTTTTTATCCAGCTTGTCGTTCTTTGTCTTTTAATTGGGACATTTAGCCTATTTACATTGAAGGTTAGCATTGATATGTATGGATTTTTATCTTGTCATCATGATGTTAAGCTGGTTGTTTTGCAGACTTGTTTATATGGTTGCTTTATAGTGTGACTGGTCTTTGTACTTTAGTGTGTTTTTGCAGGGGCTTTCCTTTCCATAGTTAGTTTTTCCTTCAGTAACTCTTGTAAGGAAGGTCTGGTAGTAACACATTCCTTTACCATTTGCTTGTCTGAAACTGATCTTATTTCTCCTTTGGTTATGAAGCTTAGTTTTGCCAGATTGGATTTTTTTTTTTTTAAGATGTTGAAGATTGGCCCCCAATCTCTTCTGGCTTTAGGATTTCAGCTGAGAAGTCTGCTGTTAGTCTGATGGGCTTCCCTTTGTATGTAGCCTAACATTTCTAGCTGCCTTTAATTTTTTTTCTTTCATTTCAACCTTAGAGAATCTGATAATTATGTGCGTTGGAGATAGTCTTCTTGTGAAGTATCTTACTAAGGTTCTCTGCATTTCCAGAATTTGAATGTTGACCTCTCCAGCTAGGTTGGGGAAGTTCTCATGCCTAACATCCTAAAATATGATTTTCAAGTTGGTTCCATTCTCTCCATCTCTTTCAGGTACACCAATCAGCTATAGATTCGATCTCTTTACATAATCTGACATTTCTCAGAGGTTTTGTTAATTCATTTTCATTCTTTTTCTCTATTCTTGTCTGCCTGTCTTATTTCAGAAAGCCAGTGTTTAAGAGTCGAGATTATTTTCTCTGCTTGGTCTATTCTGCTATTAATACTTGTGATTGCATTGTGAAATTCGTGTAGTGTGTTTTTCAGCTCTCTCAGGTCAGTTATGGTCTTCTCGATAATGGCTGTTTTGTCTGTCAGCCACTGCAATGTTTTATCATGATTTTTAGCTTCCCTGAATTGTGCTACAACATACTCCTTTAGCTCAATGAAGTTTGTACCTATCAATATTCTGAATTCTACTTTGTCATTTCAGCTATCTCAGCCTCAGCTTGGTTCTAAACCCTTGCTGGAGAGATGATGCAGTCATTTGGAAGAAAAAAGGCACTTTGGCTTTTTGAGTTTTCAGTGTTCTCATGCTAATTCTTTCTGATTATTGTGGGTTTATCTACCTTTACTTTTTGAGGTTGCTGATCTTTGGATTGTTTCCTTTTATCTGATTGGATGACATTAAGGATTTGATTGTGGTATAAGGTGGACTCAGATGACTGGCTTTGTTTCTGGGAGGTTTTAGGAGGCCAGCGCTCAGCTCCCAACTCCTAAACTGTATACTCTCCCTGGGGGGGAATTGTATTGGGCCCCAATTTTGTTCTCTATCTCCTTGGGGTTTGGAGTCCACTGTGCTGGTGGTGCTGAGGTGCAGCAGCTGCAGCTGAGTGCTAGTGGATCCCAGGGTGCCTGCCTCCCTGTGGGTATTCACCACAGTAGCAGAGGCAAGGCAGCTGATAGGGAGTGGGAGGCCCCTGCTGGAAGCTGTGTGTGTTGTTGCACTAGAGGTGGTGTTGGCGTAGGGCAGTGTGCTGGCTAGTGCAGATTTGGGTGCCTTCTCTGTGCTCTGCAAGCAGGAGTGATCAGTTAGGGTGTGGGAGGATCCTCTGTTCTCTGCACAGTATTAGCGCATGGGTGGGATGCTGGAAGGCTGGCTGGCTCTGTTCCTGCCAAGGCTTCATCTGCAATGACGGTCAGCAGGGGTGGGAGGGGTGTAATGCATTCCTGCCTGCTAGTGGGGCAAGTAAAGCAAAATCCACCTGTGTAGACATGCATCAGCAAAGTGATGTGAGGAGTTGCTGTGGGCTCAGGGGAAGCTGCAGCATGCAGAGGGAATGTGTGGGCTGGTGTGCGGCAATAGGGGCTGCCTCGCTGGAGCTCTCCACCATTCAGGCATGGTCTGCCAGAACAGAAACTATGGCATGGGCCCCCAGGGCACCCAAGACTGCCCTGTAAGCAGGTGTGTCTAGGCTGGGGCTCCATGAGAGGCAGCTGACCAAGGAGCGCTCAGGTTGGAGTAGCCCTATCTGATGTTCAAGGCCACCCTGAAGAGATCAGGTCTGACACCTCCCCTAGGACTAAAGTCTCTTATGGGAGCAAGTGCAGCCTAGACGAATGGCCATCCCTGGCCATACTCTGCTACAGATGTTCCCGCACCAAACCCTCTGGGCTCAACATCAGCTGGCTTACTGCCCCACCACTTTGCTTGTCTCCTGGGGGCTCTACCCCAGAGAGATGCAGGTCAGCAATTGCTCAGTGCACTCAGGCCAGGATGGAGGGTCTGTGCTGTGGACTCAAGCCAGGGATTCCCTGTTTGGCTACAAGCAGTTGGGCTTGCGTGGTTGCATGGGAGACAGACTGGCCTCCTCTCCTTGGGTGAGCAGCAACTTGTTGAAGGTGTTCATAAGGCACTTAGGGTCTTTACTCCTTTATTAGTTTGAGGGCAGCAAGGACAGTTTCACTGAAAAGGCAGTAGCAGAGAGACTTTCAGTTGCCCCTTGAGGCTCTGTCCAGGGAGTCACTGAGTTGCTACTGCCCCAATAGCTCTGGTTAGGGGTGTCTAGAGGCCTAGAACTGCCAGGTGAGGATATATGGGAATGGGCACATGTAACAGTCTGGCCACTTTTCCACAGGGCTGATGTAGTATTCTGGGGTTCCATTCCAGTTCGTAGTTGCCTCAGACTTTCCAGTACCTGGAGTTATCACCAGTGAAGGCTATGAAACAGCAAAGATGGCAGCCTAACCCTCCCTCTGGAAGCTCTGTCCCAGGGAGGTACGGGCCTGTTTCTAGACTGAATTCACGTGTAGGAGGTGGCTGGAGACCCTGGATGGGAGATCTCTCCCAGTTACGAGGAATGAGATTGGGACCCATTTGAAAAAGCAGTCTGGCCACATTTTCATAGAGGAGCTGTACTGTGCTGGGGGTCTACTTCAGCCCCTGGTCACCTCAGACACTCCAAAGCCCAAAGGCTGGAAAAGCTGTCTCCCAAACAGCAAAGATGGTGGCCTGCCCCTCTCTCTGGGTGCTCCATCCTAGGGAGGTTTCAAAACTGCATCAGGTCGGGCGTGGTGATTCACGCCTGTAATCCCAGCACTTTGGGAGGCCAAGGCAGGCAGATTACTTGAGGTCAGGAGTTCGAGACCAGCTTGGCCAACATGGTGAAACCCCGTCTCTACTAAAAATACAAAAATTGGCTGGGCGTCATGACGGGTGCCTGTAATCCCTGGTACTCAGTAGGCTGAGGCACAAGAATTTCTTGAACCCGGGAGGTGGAGGTTGCAGTGAGCCGAGATCGCACCACTGCACTTCAGCCTGGGAGACAGAGTGAGACTCAGTCTCAAAAAGCAAACAAACAAAAACCAAACAAACAAACAACAAAAAAACTGCGTCAAGTGGAGATCACTGGTGGGGGTGGCTGAAGACTCCAGCTGGGAGGTCCCAGCCAGTGAAGAGGAATGAGATCAGGGACCTGCTTGATAAAGCAGTCTGGCCATGATTTGGTAGAGCAGCTGCGCTGTGCTGAGGCACTGCCTCCGTGCTCAGTCAGCTCAGACACTTCAAAGCCCGAAGGCTGGAACGGCTAAGTCACCCAAACAGCAAAGATGGTGTCCCCTACTCCCCCACCTCCAGGGGCACCATCTCAGAAAGATGTAACACTGCTCCCAGCGGCTGGCTGGAATTCCAAGCCAGTGGGTCTTATCCCGTGAGGTGCCAGGGAAGTGGGGTCTGCAGATGGTCGCTGCTCAGCCCCGTGGATTCAGCCTCCTTTTTAGGGGTATGTATGGGGATCCAACCTCCCACTTTGCCAGAGTCAGAGCTACTTTTGCCAGAAAGCTCAGAAAGCCGGAGTTTCTAAGTCTTCCTGGTCTCCATGCGTGCCTGAGCGGCTGCCGTGCCAAGACTCCAGGTAGCTCTGTGTGTCATACTGAAGGCCCTCGTGGAGTGGGTTCACGAGGGGATCTCCTGACCCAAGGGTTGCAAAGATACATGGGAGAATCATGGATCCCTGGGGTTGCACGTTCGCTCACCACTTCCTTGGGCGGGGGAGGCTCCCTTGGCTCCGTGCTGCCCCCAGGTGGGCGGTTGTCCTGCCTTGCTTTTCTCTGTCTCCGTGGGTCAAGTCGTTTCCTTGATTAGTCCCAATGCAAGTACCTGGATGTTTCTGTTGGAAGTGCTATATTTACTCGCCCCTTCCGTTTCTCTTTCTGAGAGCCAACGCATATTAGCTGCTTCTAGTCTGCCATCTTGGACTCTTCCTCAGCTTTATTTTCAATAGCAAAAAGTGGATATAACCTTAAAGTTATTTAGTAAATGACAGTATACCAAGATGATGAAATATTTAGCTATTAAAATTTGTTTGCAGAGTGCATTGCTAGAGTTGAGGAAGTGCTACAAGACTGTTTTGTATAATATAAAATAACTTTTAAAATACATGTGTTGTAACCTACATAGAATAAGAGATACACATGAAAGTTTTGCAGTGGTGATATATTTTTTGTGTTTGTCAACTTTTCTTCT
This sequence comes from Homo sapiens, assembly GCF_000001405.40. NCBI lineage: Eukaryota > Metazoa > Chordata > Mammalia > Primates > Hominidae > Homo > Homo sapiens. The sequence goes on along the minus strand of NC_000007.14, from coordinate 86,598,062 downwards.
GTTAGTATGTAATTAGACAAAAGTTCTATAGTACTTATCCAAGGAAGATTTATCAAGGACACTAGGAAATATCAAATATACTGTAGAATGGAAAACAACTTAGAACTGCTGCTGATTTTTGGAATATAGGTAACTCTCTAAGGAGCATAGATGTGTATCTCGCCTAAAGGACCAACGATAAAGCCATGTAATTTGTGTTCCTATTTTCTCCCTTCTTTGCCTAATGAGCTGTGGAGAAGAGATAAAAGTTGAGAAAGACATAGAAGGCACATAATGTAATCCCGAATTAAAAAAAAAAGCCAATTATAAGTGAAAGTGTCATTAAATGTTATAGCACTAATGAAAAGACTGGTTTATATATTTGCAGGTTCCAAAATGTTTTGAAGGTATTTTTATGTTTTCTGGAATGTGTTTACCCTTTTTACTAGAGAACTGGAAAATGGAAATTGTTAGTTTGTTGGCATGAAGCTAGTTAACCTGTCAGAAAAACAGTAATGAATAGAAGGGTGTGTTCCATACTCTACTTCAATTTTTATCTTAATTTATTATGCACACTTACATTACCTTAAGATAGAATATTCTGTTGTGCATTTTAAGGTCATGTGACAAATTGGAATTTAGATCCCATGACAACAGGTTAATTGCCAACTTTATTCTCTTGGTGCAATAAAAACTACAGAACATGTGTTCTCATTGTTCAATTCCCACCTATGAGTGAGAATTAATGGTTGCAGCACACCAACATGGCACATGTATACATATGTAACAAACCTGCACTTTGTGCACATGTACCCTAAAACTTAAAGTATAATAATAGTATAATTAAAAAAAAACAAAAAAACACTGCAGAACATTTACATTTGAAAGAGAATTGTTAAAGGTGTTTATATTACCTTAATATATTTTTATATTTTGTGATATTTTAAAAGTTATTTAGCATTTGATGGTTACTATCAGAAAGAAATATGATCCAATTACTATTTAATAATTAAAAATATTACTTCTGTTTCTAGTAGTAACAAATTGGAAGCACTTATGTTAGAACTGAAGAGAAAATATGGAAAAACTTAAACATGGTAAGTGTATGAGAATAGAAATTTTTATTTTTATATGTTTATATATTTTATTTAACGATGTATTGTGACCAATATCCATGGTAATAAATATTTTTCAAAAACATTGTTTTCAATGGCTATAAAGTATTCTCCTAAAGGAAACACCTCTTCTTCCACCATCCAGCAATAGACTGCTGATGAACTATGCATTCTTTGTCCCAGGACAATATAATATAATAAAGTTACACGAGTTTTAAGAAATAGTTTTATAAAATCCCCCATGTGACAGTAATTGTACCATGAGTTTACCAAACAAAAATAAAGGTAATTTCCTAAGCAACTGCTTGTTTTAAACTTGTGGATAGTATATATCATATTAACTATATTTTAAATTTTATCTGCTAGAATGCTTAAAGTTGTGGTCTATCATTAGAAGCTATATATAACTTCACTTAGTTTTTCTATACCTCAACCTCACTTACTCTAAATTTAATTTAGCTGGCCATATTTATGTATCCTAATGAGATTTATTAAATTTATTGGAAAAAATTCATGTATGAATAACAACAGAACAACAGCAAAAATTACCACAAGAAAATTACCTGGCTTCTGAAAATATCAGTTTCCTCATCTACAAAATGTGGATAATTATTCCAATATTTTTTGGTAGGACGTATGTGAGATTTAAATTAGATAATTAAAGCAAAAGCCTATTACAGAGGCAGGAGGAGTGCAATATTCAAAAGGTGTTTTCCTTCTTTCCTTTTTCTTGGAGATAAAAACCACTAAATAAATTCCATTTTCATTTAGCTAACACATTTTCTGTTAAATGTAGCCATTCAGAAACCACCCCAAGTAGATGATAACATATTCAGCATTACCCATATCGTGGTATTTTAAATTGAGCAACTTTATATATAAAAATTATTTAAAATGCTAATGAATTTTTTTCAGTTTTCAAATAATTGTTTTGATATCATATAAATAAATGCTATTTATCCTATTTTTCTTTACTATAAAAAAGATAATTTCTTTAGCAGTATAATCTTAAAATATACTATGACTCTTTCTATAAAACTTTATACAAAAGTTAAGATATTTCAAATATTGAATTTGTATAAGAAAATAAGTAAAGGGGATGAAAAAGTCAGTGCAACACACTTCTGATACTAAATAAGGTAAATTTTATCAATAATCAGATTGCTAATAAATCAGAGATGCTTATGTTTATGAAGATATATTTGCCACCCCCCCCACATATGTTTGTGTTAATTTGCATTCCAAGAGTAAATTGGAAGGAAGAGAACTAGCTAAATTTGAAAAACAAATAGAAATCTCTAAATGTTACCTGAATGTAATTATTAGTCTGTGCTTTTTCCTACAGCAAAGATCTCTTTTATTTCTTAAATTGAAAGTGAGTGAGAAGAGAGAGAAGGGAGAGAGCGAGGGAGAGAGAAAGAGATCATTTAAGAAGACAGAAATTTTCTATTACTTTGAAAATAAACAGGACATCATAAAAATTTATATCTATACTAAGTATAACTGTCACCATTTAAAACATGCATCTTTTTGAGGATTCCTGTCTATACCTTGAAGCAGTACTATAATTATGATCTCAATTTGATGAGCTTTTGTAAATAACCTGGCAATTATTCTTGATGTACTACTGCATTTTGTCTATTAGTGTTTATTATTTAAATAACCACCATACACAAACACATCTTGGAAATTTTTGTTTCTCTAGTATGTTACCTATTGATGATTTTAAAAAGAAAGCATGGTCAAAATAAAATTTCCTTAATCAGACAAATTCTTAGTTTATAAATTAGTTCTTGAAATAATTTGGGTGCTTTTTCAGGCCCTTAGTTACCTTAAGTAGTACATTAGTAGTGGGTAAAAAATTAGTGCTGTTATTTTTGTCAGAGTTACCAATATTTATAAAGGAGTTACCAATAGTTATACATATTATTGAGCCTGTGGCAAGATTTTTCTTGGGCCACTGAGTGTTATTTAAATATTTTTTCGGGCCAGGCGCGGTGGCTTACACCTGTAATCCTAGCACTTTGGGAGGCTGAGGCGGGTGGACCACTCGAAGTCAGGAGTTTGAGACCAGCCTGGCCAACATGGCAAAACCCTGTCTCTACTAAAAATACAAAAATTAGCCAGGCATGGTGGCGGGTGCCTATTATCCCAGATAGTCGGGAGGCTGAGACAGGAGAATCGCTTGAACCCAGGCTAGGGGTGGTGGTGGGGGGAGTAGAGGCTGCAGTGAGCCGAGATGGCACCACTTCACTCCAGGCTGGGCGAAAAAATGAAACTCCATCTCAAATAAATACATAAGAAAATATTACTGGGTGGATTGTACTAAGTTTGCTCCTTACAATCAACAATAACTATTTAGTGCATGGCTTCAATGTGTTCAGTGCAATGCTAAATTAGGAATATATATGCCTAAGACATGGATTTTACTTTTACAATAATTACATTTAAATAAACTGATTATACATAGATAATGGTCAGCAGTAAGCTAGTTTCTGATCACACATACTACAATCTATTTTAAGTGTTCTTTGTATTTAGGCAAGAAAGATGAAGCTCCCTTGACCCAGCCATCTGGTCACCCAGGCTGCAAATAAAGCAGATGGGCCATAATAAAGCCACCATTATAAACAACCCAGTGAATACTTTTTGTGAGAGGTAAATGTTGATTATATTAAATTATAAGATAAAATGTCTCTAACAGATCACATTCTTTTTCTCTCACCTTATAGATACGAAACTGTAAAATATTACTTAGTAATGTGTAGCTATGGATAACCCTGTCTGGACTCAGTCAGAGGTAATTTTCTTGTATATTGCCTTCCTCTTGGATTCAATGTTACTGGAGAAAAATACCAAATTTTGCCATCTCTCTGAATTTGTCTAAGGCTCTATGCCTAGTGAACGGGGTTACTAATAGCTACCTAATACCGATATACATACCTATTTCTGAGTAGTCAAAAGGTGTTAAGAAAAATTTTTTAATTAAATAAAACTTACCAGTGATAAATGTGAGCAGCCCATGTGAGTAGGTCACATTTGAAAAGGATTTTAGGGATCATAGATTTTAGCATGGATCAGAGGAGATTTAACATATAATTCAAGAGAAGAAGACTTATTGATGACTAATTTTATTTGGTGTTGGGTATTCTTGGGAGCAATGTGCATGGATTGTGAATATTAATAAAGAATTGCACTTTAGCAGATACTGCTGAATGTAGCAATGCAATTTTAAATTCTAAAGCCTGTTTCAGATACTAGTCTTCAGTCTTAGTGGGACATTTTCATCCTAAGTTTTAGTCGTGTATTCATATACAGATCATTAGTCCTCTACAAACCAGAAATAAGTTCAAAAACAGTATTATATGAGCCAGTGTTTAACTGGAACATCATTAATATTCTTGATATTATCATCCTGAATTAATTGTAGTTTACTAGCAGCATATATGGCATTATCTTGTATTCTTTTTTTTTAAATTATACTTTAAGTTCTGGGGTACATGTTTAGAACATGTAGGTTTGTTAGACATTTATGCAGTCAACAAACATGAAAAAATGCTCATCATCACTGGTTATTAGAGAAACACAAATCATTATCTTGTATTCTAACAGTTATGAGTGTGGTGGTATGTTTTGGACTACTAAGTGACTTGTTTTGGTTAAGGCATTCTAATTTTTTTTTAAACAAACACACAAACAAAAAAACTTGTTATAGCCAGACATCATGACCATCATGTGGCTCTTAATGAATTGCTTCTGGTTGCTGTGATTAAGTTGGTGATATGGTTGCGAACAAAGTGAGTCATAATACTGTGTGACTTGAATCTAGTACCTCTTTCTGGGGGCATGCTCCAGCATTGTCAGTAATAGAAGTTAAGTAGATCCTTATGCTGTAATTTCTCAGTGTACACCTCCCAACATAAAAACCACATGCACATATATATACATGCACACGCGCACAGGCTGATTCTGTGGAGCAGGATGGAAGAAAACTAGATTTTTCTAAAACATCAGAATTTTTGTTAGTCACATGGTCATAATCTTGCCTTGACCCCACATTCATTGGTGGAAATTATTATAAATCTAATTATAACTGAAAGTGGCACAGAAATTAAAACATAGTAGAAGATCAATATATAAGTAAATTTAAGTAGAATTGATTTAATGTTAGACCACAAAATTTTAGAACATTTTATATATTTCTAAAGATTTCCATATGTATTAACTTCAATAAAATGCAAAATAACTCCACCAATTGAACAGATCTTTTCTTAATCCCATCTTGCAGATGAAGAAACAAAAAAAATTTAAGACATACTGAAGACCATGTAGCTAATTTGTGTCAGAGCCAGAACTAAAAGTCTTCTTCTTGATTTCTACTCTAGGGCTTTCTCCTTTACCAAGACTGAGTACCTATAAAATATTCTTTTTAGTTGAATTTTGTCAGTTTAATAATTTCTAAATATCTTGGGTGTCAAGTAGACAAGAGGTGGGTTCATTATAGTTCTTTATAATATGTCTTAGCTTCAATTTGTCTTAATTACCCTAGTGTGTTTACATGTGGTGGGAGGAGATAGCAAGTACTAGATAAAACAAAACTGGTAAGTTTCAGTTTCTGGTGAGATTCTAGAAAGTATTACTGAAATGACAAGTGTAAATAATTATAAAAGAATGTGAAAATAAAACGATAATATATTTTTCAAAAATAATTGGTAGAATACTAAATCATGGGGATTTCATGACAGATTATTTTTCAGTAAAGCATTTGACAAATGTTTTCTATAAATTTCTTAAGGTTAAAACATTTAAATTTGAGTTAGATAATACTATTATCAATATTTACATATTTATAGCTGATTAAGGAGTGATCAATGACAATTTGGATAAAAGTTATAGAGGCATGTGAAAAAAATGTAACACTTTGTTTTTCTTTTAAAAATAGTTTCATTTGGGATGATTTCTCTTCATACAGTTGGAATATTTAAACAAATTGCCATGGAGACAAAACAAACGCACACACACACCACCATTACCATCATTACTGCCGCCTTCAATAAGTACAGTAATGACTTCTACTGGCCCCTAGTTCCTGGGCCCAGTCCTAGGCCCCTAGTTCCTGGACCTGAAATCTTAGGGGATTTATCATGAGTAGGACATTAGCAGGATACCTAGTTATGACTATTTTATAAAAATTTAAATTCCCCGAGGAAGAAAAGAACTCCTCTTGGATTTTAATAAAATAGCTGGCAATATTAAGCAAAATTAACACAAACATGTATCTTTCCTAAAAATTTCCATACTTTAGAAATATTTAATCATACCTTCATTTCATGATTTCAGTAGAACGTAATGTTAATTAAGCCATACAAATTACTTAGCACACTTTTGGGAGGCTTCTAGGATTCTTCTTTTCTGACACAACAGACATCCATCTATTGCTATTTTCAAAATGAGAAGGTGGATTTAACTCTCTAACTTATATATTCCTGAAGACCTTAGATAACTCTAAGTATAAAATGCTGAATCCAAGCTATGGACTTCATTAGCCAAGGAGACATTTGCAAAAGATATTTTGGTTTGATTATCTTATTTATATATTTTTTTCAGAACAGATATAATATCTAAAATCTGTGCAAGGAAATACTCAGAAATGATTAAGGAACCACTCATTGTTCTGTCGGATTGTTTCAGACTTCCTCACCTTCCTCCTAGATTCTTCTTTATTCTGGATACAACAGCTTTGCAAAAGGGAACATCTATATTATCACATGAGATAGGACTGCACACACAAGAAATATATATGATAAATGGCTTTATAACATCTTGGTAATATAAACAACCTCTAAAAATTATATGAAATAAATCTACTTACTGTGTGGTTTTTAATTCCTGAAAGAAAATAAGGGATAATGATAGTTTCCTTAGGAAACTGAAAATAGAAACCCACTGGTACATTTAACAAACAAATTATTTCACATTTTCCTTGGTAAAATAAGGTTAAATATGTATCTACCTATAGTGTTGCCCATATGATAGAGATTGGTCTTATAACTCCTGGCTTTTATCTGCCTTCAATGTGTTGTTAAGAGATAATATAGTCGGAAATGTCATCTTCAAAAAAAATTAGCCAGAGTTAGAGCCGGCAAAACCATTAGGAATACTGCTTATCCCCACTGAAATTTTGAAGTCTCTGCTTGACTGTGGATTTGTAAAATGAGAAAACTTCACAAGTGGGCAAGGAGATATTTATTAGCAGTTTCCATGTGATACGCTTTTTTGTAGGATATTGATAATTACCTGGAAGCTACCTGGTTTTAGATGAAATGTTCCTTCAGATAATCCATGTTCCTCTGTTCTGATTCTTTGCTTCTAAGCAACCTTATTAATTTGGCAATATAATTTTAAAACTATTAAAAATTTACATGGAATTTGGTATTCCAGGTTATCTTGATACTGGGAATGATTTGCTCTAAAGTTATAAGTTAGCATCTATGGCCTGTGGGTCAAACCTGTCCCACCACCTGTTTTTGTAGGACTATGAATTGACAAGTGTTTTTACATTTTTAAGTGGTTAAAAAATAAAAATTAATGTTTTGGGATTTATGAAAATTATATAAAATTCAAATTTTATTTACTTTTTTGAGATGAAGTCTTGCTCTGTCACCCAGGCTGGAGTGCAGTGGTGTGATCTCAGCTCACTGCAACCTCCACCTCCTGGGTTCAAGCAATTTTCGTGCTTTAGCCTCCTGAGTAGCTGGGATTACAGGCATGCACCACCACACCCAGTTAATTTTTGTATTTTTATTAGAAATGGCATTTCACCATGTTGACCAGGCTGGTCTTGAACTCCTGACCTCAAGTGATCCTCCCACCTCAGCCTCCCAAAGAACTGGGATTACAGGAGTGGACCACCATACCCAGCATAAAATCCAAATTTTAGCAAGAGATAAAATGTTACTGGAACATAGCTATGACATTCATTTGCATATTGTTTTTGCTGCTTTGTGAATGCTGCTTTGTGTCATGATACCATGATATATTGAAGTATATTGCTATATTGCAAGAGAGACCATATGATCTCCAAAATATTTACTATCCAGAACTTCACTGAAATATTTGCTGATTCTTGCTTTGGATAGTAAATATGATAATTTTCATTTCTTGGAAAAGGGTGTGAAAATTAGTACAGTAACATCTATAGACTAAAATTTGCCAAGAGAACAGGTGGGGATTGTACAGTGACCTAGAATAAATACAATGGCAGTATCTTTTTTGTTCTAAGGTTATTTTTAGTTTCACTGTGATCTAATTGAATGAAATTCTACCCTGGAAAACCTTTTTATCCTCTGAAAAAGTTATAACGTGTGAAAATTTTGAATTTCAATATTTATGGTTATGACTTTAAAATAGTAATTTTTCTAAAATAGCAAGTAAAAAAAATCACACACATCTCTAGCACCTCACATTTAGAAAATTTTATATCTGGTAAATATAAACAAAGGTATCAGGATGATGCTGGACTCATAAAATGAGTTAGGGAGGGTCCCTCTTTTTCTATTGTTTGGAATAGTTTCAGAAGGAATGGTACCAGCTCCTCTTTGTACCTGTGGTAGAATTCGGCTGTGAATCTGTCTGGTCCTGTGCTTTTTTTCTTTGGTAGGCTATTCATTACTGCCTCAATTTCAGAACTTGTTATTGGTCAATTCAGGGATTTGACTTCTTCCTTGTTTAGTCTTGGCAGGGTGTATGTGTCCAGGAATTTATCCATTTCTTCTAGATTTTCTAGCTTATTTGCATAGAGGGTTTATAGTATTCTCTGCTGGTAGTTTGTATTTCTGTGGGATCAGTGGTGATACCCCCTTTATCATTTTTTATTGTGTCTATCTGATTCTTGTCTCCTTTCTTCATTAGTCTGGCTAGCAATCTATCTATTTTGTTAATCTTTTCAAAAAAACAGCTCCTGGATTCAGTGATTTTTTGGAAGTGTTTTTCATGTCTCAATCTCTTTTGGTTCTGCTCTTATCTTACTTATTTCTTGTCTGCTAGCTTTTGAATTTGTTTGCTCTTGCTTCTCTAGTTCTTATATTTGTGATGTTAGGGTGTTGATTTTAGATCTTCCTGCTTTCTCTTGTGGGCATATAGTGCTATAATTTTCCCTCTAAACACTGCTTTAGCTGTGTCCCAGATATTCTGGTACATTGTGTCTTTGTTCTCACTGGTTTCGAAGAACTTATTTATTTCTGCCTTAATTTCGTTATTTACCCAGTATTCATTCAGGAGCAGGTTGTTAAGTTTCCATGACTTGTGTGGTTTTGAGTGAGTTTCTTAATCCTGAGTTCTAATTTGATTGCACTGTGGTCTGAGAGACTGTTTGTTATGATTTCCATTCTTTTGCATTTGCTGAAGAGTGTTTTACTTCCAATTATGTGATCAATTTTAGAATCAGTGCAATGTGGTGCTGAGAAGAAAGTATATTCTGTTGGTTTGGGGTGGAGAGTTCTGTAGATGTCTATAGGTCCACTTGGTCCAGAGCTGAGTTCAAGTCCTGAATATTCTTCTTAATTTTCTGTCTCATTGATCTGTCTAATATTGACAATCGGATGTTAAAGCCTCACACTATTATTGTGTGGGAGTCTAAGTCTCTTTGTAGGTCTCTAAGAACTTGCTTTATGAATCTGGGTGCTCCTGTATTGGGTGCTTATATATTTAGGATAGTTAGCTCTTCTTGTTGTGTTGATCCCTTTAACATTATGTAATGCCCTTCTTTGTCTTTTTTGATCTTTGTTGGTTTAAAGTCTGTTTTATCAGAGACTAGGATTGCAACCTCTGTTTTTTTGTTTGGCTTTCCTTTTGTTTGGCTTGGTAGATCTTCCTCCATCCCTTTATTTTGAGCCTATGTGTTTCTTTGCACTTGAGATGGGTCTCCTGTATACAGCACACTGAGAGATCTTGACTCTTTATCCAATTTGCCAGTCTGTATCTTTTAATTGGGGCATTTAGCCCATTTACATTTAAGGTTATTATTTGTTATGTGTGAATTTGATCCTGTCATTATGATGCTAGCTGGTTATTTTGCCCATTAGTTGATGCAGTTTCTTTATAGTCTTGATGGTCTCTACAATTTGACGTGTTTTTTGCAGTGGCTGATACTGGGTTTTCCTTTCCATATTTACTGCTTCATTCAGCAGCTCTTGTAAGGCATGGCTGATGGTAATAAAATCTCTCATCATTTGCTTGTCTGTAAAGGATTTTATTTCTCCTTGGCTTATGAAACGTAGTTTGGCTGGATATGAAATTCTGGGTTGAAAATTATTTTCTTTAAGAATGTTGACTATTCACCCCCACTGTCTTCTGGCCTGCAGAGAGTTCTGCCGTTAGTCTGATGGGCTTTCCTTTGTGGGTAACCTGACCTTTCTGTCTGGCTGCCCTTAACATTTTTTCCTTCATTTCAACCTTGGTGAATCTGACAATTATGTGTCTTAGGGTTGCACTTCTTGAGGAGCATCTCTGTGGTTTCTGTATTTCCTGAATTTGAATGTTGGCCTATCTTGCTAGGTTGGGGAAGTTCTCCTGGATAATATCCTGAAGAGTGTTTTCCAACTTGGTTCCATTCTCCCCATCACTTTCAGATATGCCAATCAAACATAGTTTTGGTCTTTTAATATAGTTGTATATTTCTTGGAAGCTTTGTTCATTCCTTTTCATTCTTTTTTCTCTAATCTTGTCTTCAATCTTTATTTCATTAAGTTGATCTTCAATCTCTGATACCCTTTCTTCCACTTGATCAGTTTGGCTGTTGATACTTGGGTGTGCTTCACGAAAATCCTGGCAGAGACACAACAAGAAAAAAGAAATTTTCAGGTCAATATCCCCGATGAACATTGATGCGAAAATCCTCAATAAAACACTGGCAAACCAAATCCAGCAGCACATCAAAAAGCTTATCCACCACAATCAAGTTGGCTTCATCCCTGGGATGCAAGACTGGTTTAACATTCGCAAATCAATAAACGTAATCCATCAAATAAACAGAAGCAATGACAAAAGCCACATGATTATCTCAATAGATGTAGAAAAGGCCTTCGACAAAATTCAACAGCTCTTCATGCTAAAATCTGTCAATAAACTAGGTATTGATGGAACGTATCTGAAAATAATAAAAGCTTTTTATGACAAACCCACAGCCAGTGTCGTACTGAATGGGCAAAAGCTGGAAGCATTCCCTTTGAAAATTGGCACATGACAGGGATGCCCTCTCTCACCACTCCTATTCAACATAGTATTGGAAGTTCTAGCCAGAGTAATCAGGCAAGAGAAAGAAATAAAGGGTATTCAAATAGAAAGAGCAGAAGTCAAATTGTCTCTGTTTGCAGATGACATGCTTGTATATTTAGAAAACCCCATCATCTCAGCCTAGAATCTCCTTAAGCTGATAAGCAACTTCAGCAAAGTCTCAGGATACAAAATCAGTGTGCAAAAATCACAAGCATTCCTATACACCAATAACAGACAAACAGCCAAATCATGAGTGAACTCCCATTCACAACTGCTACAAAGAGAATAAAATACCAAGGGATACAACTTACAAGGGATGTGAAGGCCCTCTTAAAGTAGAACTACAAACCACTGCTCAAGGAAATAAGAGAGGACAAAACAAATGGGAAAATTATTCCATGCTCATGGGTAGGAAGAGTCAATATCATGAAAATGGCCATACTGGCCAAAGTAATTTATAGATTCAATGCTATCTCCATCAAGCTACCATTGACTTTCTTCACAGAATTAGAAAAAGCTTCTTTAAATTTCATTTGGAACCAAAAAAGAGCCTGTATAGCCAAGACAATCCTAAGCAAAAAGAACAAAGCTGGAGGCATCATGCTACCCGGCTTCCAATTATACTACAAGGCTATAATAACCCAAACAGCATGGTACTGGTACCAAAACAGATATATAGACCAATGGAACAGAACAGAGGCTTTAGGAATAACGTCACACATCTACAACCATCTGATCTTTGACAAACCTGACAAAAACACACAATGGGGAAAGGATTCCTTATTTAATAAATGGTGCTGGGAAAACTGGCTAGCCATATGCAGAAAACTTAAACTGGACCCCTTCCTTATACCTTATATACAAATTAACTCAAGATGAATTAATGACTTAAATGTAAGACCTAAAACCATAAAAACCCTAGAAGAAAACCTAGGCAATACCATTCTGGACATAGGCATGGACAAAGACTTCATGACTTAAACACCAAAAGCAATGGCAACAAAAGCCAAAATTGACAAATGGGATCTAATTAAACTAAAGAGCTTCTGCACAGCAAAAGAAACTATCAGTAGAGTAAACAGGAAATCTACAGAATGGGGAAAATTTTTTCAATCTATCCATCTGACAAAGGGCTAATATCCAGAATCTACAAGGAACTTAAGCAAATTTACAAGCAAAAACAACCCCATCATTCTCAGCAAACTATCACAAGGACAAAAAACCAAACATCGCATGTTCTCACTCATAGGTGGGAATTGAACAATGAGAACACATGGACACAGGAAGGGGAACATCACACACCGGGGCCTGTTGTGGGATGGGGGGAGGGGGAAGGGATAGCATTAGGAGATATACCTAATGTAAATGACGAGTTAATGGCTGCAGCACACCAACATGGCACATGTATACACATGTAACAAACCTGCACGTTGTGCACATGTACCCTAAAACTTAAAGTATAAAAACAAAAACAAAAACAACCCCATCAAAAAGTGGGCAAAGGATATGAGCAGACACTTCTCAAAAGAAGACATTTGTGCAGCCAACAAACATATGAAAAAAAGCTCATCATCACTTGTCATTGGAGAAATGCAAATCAAAACCACAATGAGATAACATCTCACACCAGTTAGAACGGCGATCATTCAAAATTCAGGAAACAACAGATGCTGGAGAAGACATAGAGAAACAGCCACACTTTTACACCATTGGTGAGAGTATAAATTAGTTCAACCATTCTGGAAGACAGTTTGGCAATTCCTCAAGGATCTAGAACTAGAAATACCATTTGATCCAGCAATCCCATTACTGGGTGTATACCCAAAGGATTATAAATCATTCTACTATAAAGACACATGCACTCATATGTTTAGTGCAGCACTATTTACAATAGCAAAGACTTGGAAACAACCCAAATGCTCATCAATGATTGACAGGATAAAGAAAATATGGTACATATACACCATGGAATACTATGCAGCCATAAAAAAGTATGAGTTCATGTCCTTTGCAGGGACATGGATGAAGCTAGAAACCATCATTGTCAGCAAACTAACACAGGAACATGTTCTGTTCTCACTCATAAGTGGGAGTTGAACAATGACAACACATGGACACAGGGACAGGAACATCACACACCAGGGCCTGTTGGGGGTTGGGGGGATAGGAGAGGGATAGCATTAGGAGAAATACCTAATGTAGATGATGCTTTGATGGGTGCAGCAAACCACCATGGCACATGTATACCTATGTAACAAACCTGCATGTTCTGCACATGCATCCCAAAACTTAAAGTATATATATACATACACACACATATAGGCTTTTGACTCTAACATCCAGTCTCTCATTATCCCTAGTGATGAATAAACCTTCAGCAAAAGAGGTCATCACACTGATCACTGAAAATCAAAAGCCTGGGCCAGAAAGTTTAAGCAGCCACATGTCAAATCCTACCCACAGACACATTTTTTTCCTTTCTTAGATTCTATGCTTTCTTTAAAAAATTTGATAGTGTGACAACATATAAAAATTGGGAGATTTGGCCGGGCGCGGTGGCTCACGCCTGTAATCCCAGCACTTTGGGAGACCGAAGCGGCTGGATCATGCGGTCAGGAGGTCAAGGCCATCCTGGCTAACACAGTGAAACCCCGTCTCTACTAAAAATAAAAAAAAATTAGCCGGGCGTGGTGGTGGGCACCTGTAGTCCCAGCTACTCGGGAGGCTGAGGCAGGAGAATGGCATGAACCCGGGAGGTGGAGCTTGCAGTGAGCTGAGGTGGCGCCACTGCACTCCAGCCTGGGCGACAGAGCAAGACTCAGTCTCAAAAAAAAAAAAAAAAAAAAAAAAATTGGGAGATTTCATTTTGGGCTTTTTCAGTTTTGAAAAGCTATGGCAATGCTGAACACACATTCCCCTGTGGATTCCTGGGGAATAGGTGAGTAGCAGCTGGCCTTTTTATGGCAGGCATGATCTCTCCAGTTAAACACAGCCCTCAGCTGTGTGGCTTCATTCATTTTGATTGCCTGCCTGGCCCAGGAACTTCAGTTTGTGAGCCTTGCACTGAGTCTTTCCAAGCAACTAGCTCTATGAGGCAAAGGAGAATGGAGGCTTGTGTGAGTGGAAGAGAGCTTTCTCTGGCAGACACAGTATAAGTAATGCATGACATTGTCCTACTTTGAAATAAAAGCAGTGAATAAAAAGATAGTACCTGCACTCTGGGCATAATGAAAATTTCCTTTCCTATTGATATAATCAAATGAAGATGAAAAGCAGTTTTAAAAATATGAAATCAAAGCAGAGATTTCAGAATATGTAGAAAATAAAAGTGAAAACACTCTGAATCAGGACCTATGCAACACAGCTAAAGTCGTGGCCAAAGGGTAATTTGTTGTCTTAAAAAACTTATCAAATAAGAAAAAAGTGAAAAATAAATGTATTAACATTAAATTAAATGAACCAGATAAACAATAAGAATATTAGTTAAAAATTTTAAAATAGGAATAAGAATTCAAAAGAGCAAAAGTTATTATTTGGAAATACAGAAATAGTAGAATTAAAAATACTTGAGCAGTGATTGCTACATATTTCACACACCTTATTAAATTAGTAGTGTCCATAACGGTTTTTTGTTTGTTTGTTTTTTTGAGACGGAGTCTTGCTCTGTCGCTCAGGCTGGAGTGCAGTGGTGCAATCTCGGCTCAGTGCAACCTTCACCTCCCGGGTTCAAGTGATTCTCCTACCTCAGCCTCCTGAGTAGCTCAGATTACAGGCACACACCACCATGCTGGCTAAATTTTGTATTTTTAGTAGAGATGGGGTTTTATCATGTTGGTCAGGATGGTCTTGAACTCCTGACCTCATGACCCACCTGCCTCGATCTCCCAAAGTGCTGGGACTACAGGCATGAGCCACCGTGCCCAGCCTGTCCATAGTGTTTTAAACTGTAGACACCTAAATTTATTTATAGAATGTTGGTATTATACTTTGAAGTTTTGTTACGGTGGAAAGAATGACATGTAGATAGACTAAACTCTTAGCCACAAAGTAATAAATATTTTGGCTGTCACAAAATTTCTCCACATTTATCTCATAATTTAGAACTTTGACTTTTAAATCAAACAGATTTTGTTTATTTACTAATTTTAAAATTTAGACAGCCTTTTAGCAGAAACACACATTTGTACCTATCATTAGAATTTAGAAAGCAAGAGTCTGATCTCTCTCAGTCATTTATGGAATTATTAAGAAGTGATCTGCAGCCAAAGGTACTTTTACATATAACCAACTGTATTAATTTAACACCCTGAAATTTTATTTTTGAATACTTCAACTTTCATTCTGTCAATACAATGTCATTCATTCATGTTCCTTGTCTTTTTATTATTACTGCTCTCTCACAAAGTTGACTGGGTATGAATGTTTTTTATTTAAAAAACCCTTAAAAGGACTGTCTAAATTTCCCCAAGAAGATAATTTCATTGTAATATAATTAACATAATTATGTAATTATGGTATGTTTACCAAGACATATTTATGAGAAATTTTAAAAATCTGAATAAATGTTATTATTTTTCTTTCAATCGTTACCAAGATTTTTAAACATTTATTCTTTTATCTATAACAGAGTAAGAATGGATGAGTACCTAAAAGGTCTCAAGCACTATGTCAACTTATATTCAGTATCTTATTTACGCACTGGAACAACTTTAGAATTTCCATTTTATAAATGCAAAAACTGAGAGTAGTTAAACTCCTCCATCGTTATCACTCAACTAGTAAGCAGCAGAACCAAGATTCGAACCTAGGCCCTCTATTTTGTCATCATTAAGCTTAACCACTATTTTTTACCTGTACATAGAAGAGCCTCTCTGAAACATTTTAAAATGTGTTTTCCTCAAATCTACATCTTTTCCTTTAACAATAGTGTTTAAAAATTATGTTTAATAATGACTTTATAATTTTACATTATTCAAGCACATACTATCATTTCATTTGTATTATATTGTCACTTCAATAAGTTCAAATATTGTATTTTTCTTGAGTTGAAAGAGAAAGTTTTTTTTCTGACGTTTTGATATCTCTGGAACATCTATTTTGTGTTACTACAGAAAAATGCCACTTGACAGCATCTGGCACCCCCTCTACCCACCTTGTCTATTTATGGCTTGGCAACATACATTCATAAAACAGTAAAAGGACTTTTTAAGAAGTGCCAGTGACTTATTTTAGCCCTCTTTTTCTTCCCTGAAGTATTTCCTTTTTTTGACCCTGATTTTTATCTGAAGGAATTTTTACTATTTGTAATTTTAGTGTCTACTTTTACCTAAGTCCATTTTAAGAAAACAATGTTCTAATTATGTTTCAGCTCTTTGAATCTTGTTTTAGTATTTATTTTCTAGCAGGACTTTGCTGTCTTTATTATTTTCCTTCACTTTAGCATTATCGTTTTCAAATTGTTAAAATATTCCAGCTGTCTTTCTTTTTTTCCCTTTTGTTTCTTTTTTATTTTATGCTGTTTTTCATATTTAAAGTATCTCTTTTGTTCTGTAATATTTTTCCCATTTCCCTTGATTGTAGTTAGGTTGTTTAGTTTTAGATGTCTTCTTAATGACACTTTCCACTTTTCTCTTTTTTTGCTTTCTGTCCTTTCTCTCATTTTCTTTTGCATATTTGCTTTACTTTATTTTTTATTTGTTTTGCATGCCACACCTCAGTCAGCATTTTTCTCTTTACTACTATAATAGGCATCATCCATCCTTTTGGATGAGTCAAGTAAAGGGAAGAAAATAGTATCCGGAAAGCTTCATCATAACCCCATTATTTATATGATCTTAAATTCCTCTGTATTTTAAATAATGCCTAGTTATTTCAGTAATAAACAATTTTGAACAGAAAATCAAACATGTGGCAGTACAATACCTAATCAAATTTAATCAAGCACATGTCCGTATGCCTTAGAAAGAAAAAAAGAACTAGAAAAGTATCCCCCAAAGGACATCTTTCATTTTTTCTAATTATGAGGATAAATATATAATTACTTAGAAATATCTAATTGCTTATAAATAGATAAATATTCTAATTATGTGGGCAAAATATCCTTTATATTGAAATAATATTCTTAGTTTTTTGCTGTCTTCATTTTTTTTTATTATACTTTAAGTTCTAGGTTACATGTGTACAAAGTGCAGGTTTGTTACATAGGCATACATGTACTATGTTGGTTTGCTGCACCCATTAACTCATCATTTACATTAGGTATTTCTCTTAATGCTATCCCTCCCCCTGCCCCTGACCCCATGACACGCCCTGGGGCGTGATGTTCCCCGCCCTGTGTCCAAGTGTTCTCATTGTTCAATTCCCACTTATGAGTGAGAACATGCAGTGTTTGGTTTTCTGTCCTTGTGATAGTTTTCTCAGAATAATGGCTTGCAGCTGCATCCATGTCCCTGAAAAGGACGTGAACTCATCCTCTTTTATGGCTGCATAGTATTCCATGATGTATATGTGCCACATTTTCTTAATCCAGTCTATCATTGATGGACATTTGGGTTGGTTCCAAGTCTTTGCTATTGTGAATAGTGGTGCAATAAACATACATGTGCATGTGTCTTTATAGTAGCATGATTTATAATCCTTTGGATATATACCCAGTAATAGGATCGCTGGGTCAAATGGTATTTCTGGTTCTAGATCCTTGAGGAATCACCACACTGTCTTCCACAATGGTCGAACTAGTTTACAGTCCCACCAACAGTGTAAAAGTGTTCCTATTTCTCCACATCCTTTCCAGCACCTGTTGTTTCCTGACTTTTTAATGATCACCATTCTAACTGGTGTGAGATGGTATCTCATTGTGGTTTTGATTTGCATTTCTCTGATGACCAGTGATGATGAGCGTTTTTTCATGTGTCTGTTGGCTGCATAAATGTCTTCTTTTGAGAACTGTCTGTTCATATTCTTTGCCCACTTTTGATGGGGTTGTTTGTTTTTTTCTTGTAAATTTGTTTAAGTTCCTTGTAGATTCTGGATATTAGCCCTTTGTCAGATGGGTAGATTGTAAAAATTTTCTCCCATTCTGTAGGTTGCCTGTTCACTCTGATGTTAGCTTCTTTTGCTGTGCAGAAGCTCTTTAGTTTAATTAGATCCCATTTGTCAGTTTTGGCTTTTGTTGCCATTGCTTTTGGTGTTTTAGTCATGAAGTCTTTGCCCATACCTATGTCCTGAATGTATTGCCTAGGTTTTCTTCTAGTGTTTTTATGGTTTTAGGTCTAACATTTAAGTCTTTAATCCATTGCTTTCTTCATTTTCTACTATTAAGATAATAATACTTTCTAAGGAAGGTCTTGGCTACTTCAGATAAAAAATCTGTCACAGCAAAATTCATTGGGATTTTAAAATTTTCAATTTTATTCAGAAATAAATTATCTATAAGTTGAGGCTGGGAAACATTTTTTTATTGGTGTTTTAATTCAGAATGTATGTGGAAGGGGACTGGCTCTCTGTCTATGTGAAGCCTTTTCAAGGTAGTATAAATGCTGTGGAGGAGTGAAGCAGAGGTTCTAATATTTTGTTGTTGTTGCCATCAGCAGTCTTTGCTGCATGGACCCCAGGTACCCTAGTATTTGTACCTCTAACTTCTTCTATGTTTCTTCTACCCACACCATATGCTGGAAATAGAGTTGGTTCTCTGAATAATAAATTAAAACACAATAGAAAGCCTGGAGTAGAAACACCATCTTATTTGGATGATAAAAATGGATGGGGCAGTTTGTATGCGGCTTATAAAGCTTGGGAGGAAAAGAAATGATAGTACTTATTAATTATTAGTATTGGTGGACAACAACAGTGCTAACAATGATAAAAACATCTATTAAATGCCTAACTCTGTTTTTTTATTAAGGATCAAAGAAAAATACTAACAATAACAACAGTAATACTGATGAAAGCTAATATGTGTTTAACACCTATTAGGTTTTGTGCTAAGTTCTTTATGTACATTTTCTTTCTGAATCTTTATGAAATCTTATGGAGTTTTTATTCAAAAAATTGGCTACAGCTGAGTAACTTGCCTAAGGCCATATAGCTGGTAAATGTTTGAGATAAGTTTTATATCCATGTCTGTCTGACTCCAGAGACTAATTTCTCAATTCCTCAATATTAGTTCAGTACCTACTATTGAGCACTATATGTCAAGCATTATAAGATGCATTTGTGTTCTTTCCTTTTCTGAAACTCTGTGGTTCTAGCAATTCCATTTTGTCATATATTTTAATTACTGAATAAGGCAAAATGCATGAATTACATAAGAGAGAAAGAAAAAAATACTGTAAGTCATCATTAAATTATCCAAATTCCACCCCATCAGGCTCCCCTCATTCCCTGAATAACACATAAAGGGAAATCAAACAGGGACCTACTGCTTCTGTTCATTTGAAATTTAATGTATAATACTATTCATTAGATTAAAAAGCTTGTATTATGAGAGCTTAAATACTATCAATTCTATTAGTTTATTACGTTTAAAGTCACCATAATATATCATCTAAGAAAGTAATTGCTTTACTATATTGCTAGTGGGAAATAACAAGTTAGAGAATTATATGGAAGCAATGTAATGGCCCCAAAGAGCATGGAGAAAACAAACAAATCAGGAGAGGATAATCAATTTTCTGTACTATGAAAGTCTAATGCTGTTCTAATAATAAATAAGAATTCCTTTCTATCACTTGGCATGCTGTAAGTACTATGACTCATTCGATAAGCTTTTGTTGTTCATTCTAAAATGGCTTTGACATTAGAACTTGTGTAAAATAATAATAGTTTTAAGTTCATTTTCATAAATGTAATTAAACTTCATCACTTCTTATTGATGCAACAAGCCAAGCAGAAAATAGAAAGAAAAATAGAAAAGGCCACAAACACAAAATGTAATTGAATATAATGTAAAATTAGCATCTTCTGTACCAAGAGATATATAGGTTAAATTAATGAAATTAATTATGTTCAAACAACAAAACGAAAAAATTTTAGGGAACAACTTTTCTGTTTCTTACTAGTTACAAAGCTACAAGAAAGTTATTTCTATTGTCACAATTATGCTATTATTATCTTTTAATCACATTAAGTAGATTTCCTAAGACACAAGAAAGATGCACTCTTTAAAAACTTTGATCCAGGAGAAATTCCATCCCTTGACTATGTTAAGGAATTTCATAGGTTCATAAGTCTGGTTTACTCCATAAAATATTGTAAAAAGAAAGGTGGTGCATTTTTGTGTGTGTTGAAATATACATTTGTATCAGTCCATTTTCATACTACTATGAAGAAATACTTAAGACTGGGTAATTTATAAAGAAAAAGAGGTTTAATGGACTCATAGTTCCACATGGCTGGGGAGTCCTCACAATCATCGTGGAGGGCAAAGGAGGAGCAAAGGCATGTCTTATATGGTGGCAGGCAAGAGAGCATGTGCAGGGGAACTGCCCTTTATAAAACCATCAGCTCTTGTGAGACTTATTCACTATCATGAGAACACCATGAGACAGACCCACCCCTATGATTCAATTACCTCCCACTGAGTCCCTCCCATGGCACATGGAAATTATGGGATCTACAATTCAAGATGAGATTTTGGTGGGGACACAGCCAAACCATATCAACATTATATCTGAAATCCCATCTACTGTTGCATTTATAGATGGAGTGGAGGAAGAACAAGAAGAAAATATATCTGGAAGGTTGATGGTTTTCATAAGGTGAATAATTCATTTCTAAGTAATGCAACTGTTACTGTCAATTAGAAATTCACATTCTGATGAATTTTGTTGCATAGGCTTTAGTTTAGGGACAAATGTTAATGCATGTGGTTTGTTACTATTAAACCTTTATTTTAGATTTGTTAATTTCCAATAAAAACTTGACATGGAAAAATTGAGTTTAAATTTCTCCAATTGTCAATTCATGCAAACTTCAAACTTTTATGTGAATATATATATACATATATATAATAATAATATAATACACTTACAATGAGGAACCCATCCTAAAGCTCACCTTTTCAAAATAAGCAGAAAAATGTTATGAAGTTCCTGTTTGATAACACCTCAAACACACACACATACACACACACATCATAGTTTTTTAATTTTTGCACAGTAACTAAGAGTTACCTGAAACTGCCTTTATTTAAAAAAATAGTATATAGGATTTGTTGAATAAATAAAATAGACATCAAAGGCACATAAGCTTTTGCTTCACATAGAGAAATATTCGATTCATATTCTATCAACTGCTAACAATAGTGATGATGCCGAGTTAAGCTTTATGTTTGTGAATGATAACTTGAAATGCATATGTCATATTTTTACAAATGTTTATGATTTAATTAAAGATACTAATTCTTCTTCCAAGGAGCTAATATTGTATATGTTTATTTAAATTATTTAACTCAGTTATCTTCTCTATAAAGAGCTTACAATAGGCTTTAAATAGGACAGCTTACCCTTTCTAAAGTATGTTACTTCTTCTGGTAAGTCTAGAGACAAAATCCAAGGAAATAAAATCTTACTAAATTTCAAAGAAAGAATGGAATATCTTTCATTTTTTAAAAATAGACTTAAAAAAGTGGTTTTAGAATCACAGCAAAACAGAATGGAAAGCAAACGGATTATCCGTATATACTCAGCCCCTCCACATGCATAGCCTCTTCCATTATCAACAACCCCTCAGAGTGGGACATTTATTGCAATTGATGAGACTATGCTGACACTTCATTGTCTTCCAAAGCCTGTAGTTGGGTTTGTTCTTGTTATTGTACATTCTAAGAATTTGGATAAATGTGTAATAATGTGTATTGACCATTATAATATCACACAGAGTAGTTTTACCACTCTAAAAATCTTCTGTGTTCAATGTCTTCATCCTCTCTCCACCGTAACCCCTGGAAGCCCCAATGTTTTACTTATCTGTAGTCCAGAATGTAAGATAGACATAATTATATGGTATGTAGCTTTTCCAGATTGGCTTTTTTCACTTAATAATATGCGCTTAAATTTCCTTCATGTGTTTTAATGGCTTAATAGCTCATTTATTTCTAGTACTGAACAATATCCCATTATCTGGATGAACCAACTGTTTATCCATTGACTTACTGAAGAACATTTCTGTTGCTTCCAAGTTTTGGTAATTATGAATAAAGCAGCTATAAACATCTGTGTGCATGTTTGTTGTAGATGTAATTTTTAATTCCATTGGGTAAATACCAAGCAATGCAATTGTGGGATCATATGGTAAGAATATGTTTAGTTTTATAAGAAACTGCCATTTTGCATCCTCACCGTCAGTGAATAAGAGTCCCTCTCGTTGCACGTTCTTGCTAGCATTTGCTGCTGTCAGTGTTGTGGATTTGGATACTCTAATAGGTGTGTAGTGATACCTCATTGATGTTTTCATTTGTATTTCCTTGGTAACATATGATGCGGAACATTGTTTCACATGCTTACTTGCCATCTATAGACCTTCTTTGGTAAGGTATTAAGGTCTTTGGCCTATTTTTAAATTGATTGTTGGTTTTCTTATTACTGAATTTTAAGAGTTCTTTGTACATTTTTGTTAACAATCTTTTAATAGATATGTCTTTTGCAAATATTTTCTCCTTGTCTGGGCTTGGATTTTCCTTCTCTTGATAGTGTCCTTCACAGAGAATAAATTGAATATCCTACATTTAATTATTAAATCCCCCCACAACATAGCTTCTCTAATATTTTATTGACTACAACCTAAATTTACTTTTTATTTATTCTTGTTAGCTCAAATAATTTTTGGAAAAAGTACGATCTTTTGTTTTAGTTCTTTGGGGAATGGAAAGGGGGGAGAGAGAGAAGGGGGACTATATATATACACACACATACAAACACACAATAATAGTTATATATATAACCATATATGTATATATGAATACATATAATATGTGTATAACTATATATGCATATATAATAATTATGTATATATATAATTATATATGTTATTTACACACACATATATATGAGACTGACTGGAAAAAGAGCAGAAGAAAACACATCATAATATTAATAATTATGTATTCAATTATGAATGATTTAAAACTTTTTGCTTTTATGTATTTTTATGTTTTCTACAGTAATTGTAATCCTTTTATAGAAAAATTACTACAAAAGGAAAACATGTCTGAGAAAACTTAAAGACATAGTTAATCTGAAGATTTAGGGGGAATATATATATAATATATATATGATTTTTTATTATATATGTTATATTTCTATATATTATAATATATACTATATTATATATAATAAATATTTTATATAATATTTTATGTATAATATATAATATATAGTATTTATTATATATAAATATATAAATAATAAAAAAATATATAAATACATATATGTATTTTGAGACGGATTCTCGCCCTGTCACCCAGGCTGGAGTGCTGCGGCAGGAACTCGGCTTGCTGCAAGCTCCGCCTCCCGGGTTCACGCCATTTTCCTGTCTCAGCCTCCTGAGTAGGGAGTAGCTGGGACTACAGGCTCACGCTGCCACACCCGGCTAATTTTTTTGTATTTTTAGTAGAGACAGGGTAGGGGGAATATATTTTTATAGATTAGTACTATTGAAAGAAATATGTGAGCCACATATGTAACTTTAAACCCTCTAGTAGCCATATTAAACTGGTAACAAGAAACATGTGAAACTGATTTTTAAGAATATAATTTAATGCAAACTTACTTGCTTAATTTTGCTTTTTCTTTTGCCTGTGTTTTGGTGTCATATCCAAAGTCATTGACCAGATCAATGCTGAGAAGCTTTTTCGATGCTACAGTTTTGTGAATTGTTGTTTTTTTTTGAAAATTGTAAATACTTTGAGAGAAAACCACCCTAAAGTATTAATTAAGCAATATGTCATATATTGTATGATTAACTTAAACTTTAAAAAGTACTCATTTTCAAATTTTGAACTAACTGATTATCTAATATAATTGCTTGGTGATGTAATTTAAAATATTTTTATATCTTTATTTTACTCTTCTCATAATTTTCTTACAAAATTTTTAAATAAAATAATTTATTTTCCACATCTTCATCTACAGTTTATTCATTTTGCAACAAGCTAAACCATATTATATATTGCTAAAGTTATAAGCTCATATTTTGTTTAAAATTATTTTAAATTCTTTGATATTTAATTATTTTATTCATTCTTTTTTTGACTGCTGAGATAAATCTAAAAATATGTTTAGAATAAGTTAGGTAGGTGAATTTACTTTTTCAATTTTCATCAAATTCACTATGTATTTGCTAAAATGTCTCTTCATATTGTTTAATTTCTTTTTTTTATATGTACTTTGAGTTCTGGGGTACATGTGCACAATGTGCAGGTTATATAGGTATACATGTGCCATGTTGGTTTGCTGCACCCATCAACTTGTCATTTACACTAGGTATTCTCCTAATGCTATCCCTCCCCTAGCCCCCCACCCACTGACAGGCCCCAGTTTGTGATGCTCCTCTTCCTGTGTCCATGTGTTCTCATTGTTCAACTCCCACTTATGGGTGAGAACATGCAGTGTTTGGTTTTCTCTTCTTGTGTTACTTTGCTGAGAGTGATGGTTTTTAGTATCATCCATGTCTCTACAAAGGACATGAACTCATCCTTTTTTATGGCTGCATAGTATCCCATGGTGTATATGTGCCACATTTTCTTTATCTGGTCTATCATTGATGGGCATTTGGGTTGATTCCAAGACTTTGCTATTGTGAACAGTGCTGCAATAAACATATGTGTGCGTGTGCCTTTATAGTAGAATGATTTATACTCCTTTGGGTATATACCCAGTAATGGGATTGCTGGGTCAAACGTTATTTCTAGTTCTAGATCCTGGAGGAGTCGCTACACTGTCTTCTGAAATGGTTGAACTAATCTACACTCCCACCAACAGTCTAAAAGCGTTCTTATTTCTCCACATCCTCTCCAGCATCTGTTGTTTCCTGACTTTTTAATGATCGATATTCTAACTGGCGTGAGATGGTATCTCATTGTGGTTTTAATTTGCATTTCTCTAATGACCAGTGATGATGAGCATGTTTTCATAAGTTTGTGGCTGCATAAATGTCTTCTTTTGAGAAGTGTCTGTTCAGATCCTTTGCCCACTTTTTGATGGGGTTGTTTGTTTCTTGTAAATCTGTTTAAGTACTGTGTAGATTCTGGATATTAGCCTTTTGTCAGATGGATAGATTGCAAAAGTTTTCTCCCTTTCGGTAGGTTGCCTGTTCATTCTGCTGGCAGTTTCTTTTGCTATGCAAAAGCTCTTTAGTTTAATTAAATCTCATTTGTCTATTTTGGCTTTTGTTGTGTTGGTTTTGGTGTTTTAGTCATGAAGTCCTTGCCCATGCCTATGTCCTGAATGGTATTGCCTAGGTTTTCTTCTAGGGTTTTTATGGTTTTAGGCCTAACATTTAAGTCTTTAATCCATCTTGAATTAATTTTTGTATAAGGTGTAAGGAAGGGATCCAGTTTCAGCTTTCTACATATGGCTAGCCAGTTTTCCCAGCACCATTAATAAATAGTGAATCCTTTCCCTATTGCTTATTTTTTCAGGTTTGTCAAAGATCAGATGGTTGTAGATTTGTGGTGTTATTTCTGAGGCCACGGTTCTGTTCCATTGGTCTGTATATCTGTTTTGTTACCAGTACCCTGCTGTTTTGATTACTGTAGCCTTGTAGTAATGTTTGGAGTCAGGTAGCGTGATGCCTGCAGCTTTGTTCTTCTTGCCCAGGATTGTCTTGGCTATGTGGACTCTTTATTGGTTCCATATGGAGTTTAAAGTAGTTTTTTCCAGTTCTGTGAAGAGAGTCAGTGGTAG
This sequence comes from Homo sapiens, assembly GCF_000001405.40. Taxonomy (NCBI): domain Eukaryota; kingdom Metazoa; phylum Chordata; class Mammalia; order Primates; family Hominidae; genus Homo; species Homo sapiens. Next base: position 86,571,790 of record NC_000007.14, on the reverse strand, counting down.
CTTGATGGGGATAGCATTGAACCTATAAATTACTTTGGGCAGTATGACCATTTTCACGATATTGATTCTTCCTATCCATGAGCATGGAATATTCTTCCATTTGTTTGTGTCTTCTTTTATTTTGTTGAGCAGTGGTTTGTAGTTCTCCTTGAAGAGGTCCTTCACATCCCTTGTAAGTTGGATTCCTAGGTATTTTATTCTCTTTGTAGCAATTGTGAATGGGAGTTCACTCATGACTTGGCTCTCTGTTTGTCTGTTATAGGTGTATAGGAATGCTTGTAATTTTTGCACATTGATTTTGTATCCTGAGACCTTCCTGAAGTTGCTTATCAGCTTAAGGAAATTCTGGGCTGAGATGATGGGGTTTTCTAAATATACAATGATGTCATCTGCAAACAGAGACAATGTGACTTCCTCTTTTCCTAATTTTATAAGCTTTATTTATTTCTCTTGCCTGATTGCCCTGGCCAGATCTTCTAATGCTATGTTGAATAGGAGTGGTGAGAGAGGGCATCCTTGTCTTGTGCCGGTTTTCAAAGGGAATGCGTCCAGCTTTTGCCCATTCAGTATGATGTTGGCTGTGGATTTGTCATAAATAGTTCTTATTATTTTGAGATACATTCCATCAACCTAGTTTATTCAGAGTTTTTAGCATGAAGGGCTGTTGAATTTTATTGAAGGTCTTTTCTGCATCTATTGAGATAATCACGTGTTTTTTGTCATTGGTTCTGTTTACGTGATGGAGTACGTTTATTGATTTGCGAATGTTGAACCAGCCTTGAATCCCAGGGATGAAGCTGACTTGATCATGGTGGATAAGCTTTTTGATGTGCTGCTGGATTCAGTTTGCCAGTATTTTATTGTGGATTTTCACATCAATGTTTATGAGGGATATTGGCCTAAAATTTTCTTTATTTGCTGTGTCTCTGTCAGGTTTTGGTATCAAGATGATGCTCACCTCATAAAATGATTTAGGGAGGAGTCCATCTTTTTCTATTCATTGAAATAGTTTCAGAAAGAATGGTACCAGCTTCTCTTTGTATCTCTGGTAGAAATCGGCTGTGAATCTGTCTGGTCCTGGACTTTTTTGGTTGGTAGGCTATTAATTATTGCCTCAATTTCAGAACCTGTTACTGGTCTATTCAGAGATTTGACTTCTTCCTGATTTAGTCTTGGAAGGGTCTATGTGTCCAGGAATTTATCCATTTCTTCTAGATTTTCTAGCTTATTTGCGTAGAGGTGTTTATAGTATTCTTTGATGGTAGTTTGTATTTCTGTGGGATCGGTGGTGATACCCGCTTTATCATTTTTTTGCATCTACTTGATTCTTCTCTCTTTCTTCTTTATTTGTCTTGCTAGCAGTCTATCAATTTTCTTGATCTTTTCAAAAAATGGCTCCTGGATTTATTGATTTTTTTAAAGGTTTTTTATGTCTCTATCTCCTTCAGTTCTGCTCTGATCTTCGTTATTTCTGGTTTCCTGCTAGCTTTTGAATTTGTTTGCTTGTGCTTGTCTAGTTATTATAATTTTAATGTTAGTGTGTTTTGATTAGATTGTTCCTGCTTTCTCTTGTGGGCATTTAATGCTATAAATGTACACACTGCTTTAAATGTGTCCCAGAGATTCTGGTACATTGCCTTTGTTCTCATTGGTTTCAAAGAACATCTTTATTTCTGCCTTTATTTCATTATTTACCCAGTAGTCATTCAGGAGCAGGTTGTTCAGTTTCCATGTAGTTGTGAAGTTTTGAGTGAGTTTCTTAATCCTGAGTTCTAATTTGATTGTGCTGTGGTCTGAGAGACTGTTTGTTGTGATTTCTGTTCTTTTATGTTTGCTGAGGAGTGTTTTACTTCCAATTATGTGGTCAATTTTAGAATAAGTGTAATGTGGTGTTGAGAAGAATGTATATTCTGTTGATTTGGGGTGAAGAGTTCTGTAGATGTCTATTAGGTCCACTCGGTCCAGAGCTGAGTTCAAGTCCTGGATATCCTTGTTAATTTTCTGTCTCGCTGATCTGTCTAATACTAACAGTGGGGTGTTAAAGTCTCCCACTATTATTGTGTGGAGTCTAAGTCTCTTTGTAGGTCTCTAAGGACTTGCTTTATGAACCTGAGTGCTCCTGTATTGGGTGCTCATATATTTAGGATAGTTAGCTCTTCTTGTTGTGTTGATCCCTTTATCATTATGTAATGCCTTTCTTTGTCTTTTTTGATCTTTGTTGGTTTAAAGTCTGTTTTATCAGAGACTAGGATTACAACCTCTGTTTTTTGTTTTTTGTGTTTTTTTTTGGCTTTCCATTTGCTTGGTAGATCTTCCTACATCCCTTTATTTTAAGCCTATGTCTGTCCTTGCACATGAGATTGGTCTCCTGACTACAGCTCACTGAGAGTTCTTGACTCTAGGTAATTTGCCTGTCTGTGTCTTTTAATTGGGGCATTTAGCCCATTTACATTTAAGGTTAATATTGTTATGTGTGAATTTGATCCTGTCATTATGATGCTAGCTGGTTATTTTGACCATTAGTTGATGCAGTTTCTTCATAGCATTGATACTCTTTACAATTTGGCATGTTTTTGCAATGGCTGGTACGAGTTTTTCCTTTCCATATTTAGTGCTTCCTTCAGGAGCTCTTTTAAGGCAGGCCTGGTGGTGACAAAATCGCTCATCATTTGCTTGTCTGTAAAGGATTTTATTTCTCCTTCACTTATGAAGGTTAGTTTGGCTGGATATGAAATTCTGGGTTGAAAATTATTTCTTTAAGAATGTTAAATATTGGTCCCCACTCTCTTCTGGGTGTAAGGTTTCTGCCAAGAGATCTGCTGTTAGTCTGGTGGGCTTCCCTTTGTTGGTAACCTGACCTTTCTCTCTGGCTACTCTTAACATTTTTTCCTTAATCTCAACCTTGGTGAATCTGACGATTATGTGTCTTGAGTTTGCTCTTCTCAAGGAATATCTTTGTGGTGTTCTCTGTATTTCCTTAATTTGAATGTTGGCCTGCCTTGCTAGGTTGGGGAAGTTCTCGTGGATAATATCCTGAAGAGTGTTTTCTTACTTGGTTCCATTCTCCTGGTCAATTTTAGGTATGTCAATCAAATATAGGTTTGGTCTTTTCACATAGTCCCATATTTCTTGAAGGCTTTGTTTGTTTCTTTTCACTCTTTTTTCTCTAATCTTGTCTTCTTGCTTTATTTCATTAATTTGATCTTCAAACACTGATATCCTTTCTTCTGCTTGATCGATTTGGCTAACGAAGCTTGTGGATGTTTCACGAAGTTCTCGTGCTGTATTTTTCAGCTCCATCAGGTCATTTATGTTCTTCTCTACACAGGTTATTCTAATTAGCAATTCGTCTAACCTTTTTTCAAGGTTCTTAGCTTCCCTGCGTTGGGTTAGAACATGTTCCTTTAGCTCAGAGGAGATTGTTATTACCCACCTTCTGAAGCCTACTTCCATCAATTTGTCAAAACTCTCTGTCTGGTTTTGTTCCCTTGCAGGCCAGCAGTTGTGATCATTTGGAGGAGAAGAGGCATTCTGTTTTTGGAATTTTCAGCCTTTCTGCACTGGTTTCTCCCCATCTTTGTGGTTTTATCTACCTTTGATCTTTGATGCTGGTGACTTATGGATGGGGTTTTGGTGTGAATGTCCTTTTTGTTGATGTTGATGCTATTCCTTTCTGTTTGTTAGTTTTCCTTCTAGCAGTCAGTCCTCTCAGCTGCAGATCTGCTGGAGTTTGCTGGGGGTCCACTCCATACCCTGTTTGCCTGGGTATCACCAGTGGAGGCTGCAGAACAGCAAATATTGCTGCCTGATCCTTCCTCTGGAAGATTCGTCCCAGAGGGGCACCCACCAGATGCCAGCCAGAGCTCTCCTGTATGAGGTGTCTGTCAGCCCCTGGTGGGAGGTGTCTCCTAGTCAGGCTACACGGGGGTCAGGGACCCACTTGAGAAGGCAGTCTGTCTGTTATCAGAGTGAGAACACTGTGCTGGGAGAACCTCTTCTCTCTTCAGAGCTGTCAGGCAGGGATGTTTAAGTTTGCTGAAGCTGTGTCCACAACAGCCTCTTTCCCCAGGTACTCTGTTCCAAGGAGATGGGGGATTTATCTATAAGTCACTGACTAGGGCTGCTACCTTTTGTTCAGAGATGCCCTGCCCACAGAGGTGGAATCTAGAGAGGCAGTCGGCTTTGCTGAATTGCGGTGGGCTCCGCCGTGTTCGAGCTTCCCTGCCACATTGTTTACACTGTTAGCATAAAAGTGCCTACTCAAGCCTCAGCAATGGCAGACACCCCTACCCCACCAAGCTCCAGAGTCCCAGGTCACTCTCAGACTGCTGTGCTAGCAGCAGGAATTTCAAACCAATGGATCTTAGCTTGCTGGGCTCCATGGGCATGGGACCCACTGAGCCAGGCACCAAAGGGAATCTCCTGGTCTGCTGGTTCTGAAGACTGGGAAAAGCGCAGAATCTGGGCAGAAGTGTACCATTCTTCCTGGTGTAGTCTCTCAGGGCTTCCCTTGGCTAGGAAGGGGAAATCCCCTGACCTTTTGTGCTTCCTAGGTGAGGCAATACCCCACCCTGCTTCAGCTTGCCCTCTGTGGGCTACACCCACTGTCCAACCAGTCCCAATGAGATGAACCAGGTACCTCAGTTGGAAATGCAGAAACACACATCTTCTGTGTCAATCTTGCTGGGAGCTGCAGAACGGAGCCGTTTCTATTTGGCCATCTTGCCAGAAATCCTCTAATTTCTTATTTCTATTTTGTACTCAAAAATCTCCTTTCTTTTATTATGATACAGAAAATTTCAATTGACATTTTTTGTGAAACTTATGTCTCCTTCCAGTCTCTTTTGTCTTTACTGTTTCTGTGATAGTACCAGCTTCTGCATCTTCATTTAATTGTGTATCCATTATAACCATATATTTTATTTTATTTTTTGAGACAGAGTCTCACTCCATCACCCAGGCTGGAATGCAGTGGCATGATCTCAACTCACTGCAACCTCCACCCCCAGGTTCAAACAATTTTCCTGCCTCTGCCTCCCGAGTAGCTAAAATTACAGTCATGAGCTGCTACACCCAGCTAATATTTGTATTTTTAGTAGAGACAGGGTTTCACCATGTTGGCCAGGCTGGTCTCAAACTCCTGACCTCAGGTGATCCATCTGCCTCAGCCTCCCACAGTGTTGGGATTACAGTCATGAGCCCCCACACCTGGCAGTAACCCTATATTTTAAATTTAAAGATGTGTCCATACTTATTTTTTAAGTGTAAAATTAATTTTTATTCTGATTTAAATTTTAATTAATACTTTCATTTAATTACCAAATGTGATTTACATGTATCACTTTGACTCACAGTGACTGCATACAATATTCAAATAAATATACTATAATGTTATATTTCTGCCTAGAAAAATGATTCAAATTGAATCAATTGACACCAATAGATCAGCAATATGTTTATGTGTAATATGTGAAACCATGTATTTTTCCTACATGTAAACTGCAAAAAAAAATACTACCTTATTATATTAAAAGGTTGAAAGGAAATGTAGTCCTGCCAAATGGTTTTTAGTTTTAACATTTAGAAGAGTGCCTGAAGGAAGCACTAAATCTGGAAAGAAAAAAACCATTACCAGTCACTACAAAAACACCCTGAAGTACACAGACCAATGACACTATGAAGCAGCTACATCAACAAGTCTGCAAAATAAACAGCTAGCATCATGATGACAGAACCAAGTTTACATATAACAATATTAACCTTAAATGTAAATGGGCTAAATACTCAATTAAGAGACACAGAATGGCAAGCTGGATAAACAGTCAAGACTCAGCAGTGTGCTTTATTCAAGACCCATCTCACGTGTAAACAAATTAATGAGAAAAAAAACAACCAGTTAGAAAGTAGACAAAAGACATGAACAGACACGTCTCAAAAGAAGACATTTATGCAGCAAACAAACTTATGAAAAAAAAGCTCAACACTACTGATCATTAGAGAAATGCAAATCAAAACCCCAGTGAGATACCATCCTACACCTCTCAGAATGGCAACTATGAAAAAATCAAGAAACAACAGATCCTGGTGATGGTATGGAGAAATAGGAACACTTTTGCACTCTTGCTGGGAATGTAAGTTAGCTCAACCATTGTGGGAGACAGTGTGGCAATTCTTCAAAGACCAAGAACCAGAAATATCATTTGACCCAGCAATCCTATTACTGGGTATATACTCAAGGGAATATAAATTATTCTATTATAAATATCCATGCATGTATATGTTCATTGCAACACTATTCACAACTCACTGCAACCTCCACCCCCGGTTCAAACAATTTTCCTACCTCTGCCTCCCGAGTAGCTAAAATTACAAGCATAAGCTGCCACACCCAGCTAATATTTGTATTTTTAGTAGAGACAGGGTTTCACCATGAAACACATGAAATCAATCCAAATGCCCATCAACGATAGAATGGATAAAGAAGATGTCATATATATACACCATGGAATGCTATGTAGCCATAAAAAAGAACAAGATCATATCCTTTGCAGGGACATGGATGGAGCTGGAAGCCATTATCCTCAGCAAACTAATGCAGGAACAGAAAATCAAACACTGCGTATTCTCACTCATGAGTGGCAGCTGAACACTGAGAACACATGGACACAGGGAGGGGAATAACACACACTGGGGCCTCTAGATGTTGGGGGGAGGGTGATGGGTTGATAGGTGCAGCAAAGCACCATGGCACATGTTTACCTATGTAACAAACCTGCACACCCTGCATGTGTATCCTGGTACTTAAAGTATGTATAAAAATTTTTAATTTTATTAAAGTTTTATTTTCTCATACTATTGACATTTCAACTATTTGATAGCTACATGTGGCTAGCAGCTATTTAATTGACAGCCCAGTTTATAGAAAATAGTATTTTTAAGAAAACTAAAGTTTATTCATTTAAATGATGAATATTCACTTAAATATATTCTATAGCATCAATTCTTAAATCTTATTGATAATTTAGGTATCGATCTTTGAACGGTATGTATAAATCATGGTACTTTGCATGTGCATTGTACATGAAGTGGTTGCATATTCCTTTGTCAAATTATGTTTACTATGTATACTCACTATTTCCTGAGAATATGGGGTCTTAATTTTTATACAATCAAGATTAAGTTGTTATTATCTTAAAATAGTATATTACAACTACAAGACTCCTTTTGTTAACCCTGTAATAATCACAAAGTAAAGAAATTACAGCAAATACATAAAGGAGTAAGAGAAATAAAACAAAGCTTAGTAGCACAGAAAAGCCTCAAATCATAAAGGTAAATAACAGTAGAGAAAGAAAAGAATAAAGGATATACAAAACAAACAAAAAAATCATTAACAAAATAACAAGAGTAAGTTCTTATCTATCAATTATAACTTTGAATGTAATGTCTAATTTGTAATATAGATATGTGTAGAAAAATATGAAAGTCTATATACCAAAGTGCCAATGACAGTTATTTTTTTAGATGGTGGAATTAAAGGTGATTTTTTTTATTTCTAATTTTTATACAATTACCATACAGTGCTTATATAATAAAATAATACATTATTCAAGGGAGATTTTTAAAAAACTTTAAAAATTGTTTGCCTTTTCTTGCTTTCTACAGTTTTCTTTAGAATTGTCTTTTCCTAAAAATGATTTAGTTTCCTAAAAAGACTTGCTTCAGAACACTAATTGAATTTGCAGAAGAGGAATTTATTATGAGACTTGAAAAATGCCAGATCAATAATCTGTAGATAGTTGGAGAGCTTATAGTTGTAACAGAGGTGATTTTTTAAAAGCAAAATGTTGCTATCACTTGGTGCCCTTCTTTTACTTTATTATGACTTTCGGCCAAATATACAATTTAAGTATTTTCTAATTGATACTCTCAAATAAATTTACTTTTACAGTAAGGTAGTGGATAAGACGCAGTCTGAGAAAAGTCTTAAGAACTTGAAAACTTGAATAAATATCTTTTAAAAATATCATTTCATAGATAATTATTTAAATAAAAGAGATTATTAACTGCTCCTATAGTATAATTTACTGGGTAGGTTCTCTGCTTCTTCAACTTTTTTGTTGATGTTTTAAATTTTTTCAGCAGGAAACAAAGCATTTCATTCCAACTTTATTTAGGGTTTTTTTTTTTTTTTTAGACGGAGGCTTGCTCTGTTGCCCAGGCTGGAGTGTAATGGTACGATCTTGGCTCATTGCAACCTCCACCTCCCAGGTTCAAATGATCCTCCTGCCTCAGCACCCCTAATAGCTGGGATTACAGGCATGTGCCACCATGCCCGGCTAACTTTTTTGTATTTTTAGGAGAGATGAGGTTTCAGCATGTTGGCCAGGCTGGTTTTGAACTACTGACCTCAGGTGATCCACTCACCACGGCCTCCCAAAGTGCTGGGATTACAGGCGTGAGCCAACGTGCCTGGCCTATTTAAGGTTTTAACATTTCAAACTAAATTTAAACTATGGGACAAATGACTGACAGTAGACCCTTTTCTGGATTTAATCATCGGAGGAAGAGAGGAAGGTGAGAATATAAGGATCTATCAAGGCAAGAATCAGGCACAGAAAGAGGGTTTGGTGGTGAGGAGGGAGAATGATGAAGCTAAACTCTACACAGTTCATAGTTTCCTGGGTCCTCTTCCACGTGTCTTCAAGATTGGCTCAAAGAGAAGTTCAGAAAAAACTCACATTGTATTTTTTCTTTTTCATTAACCTTCTTTTTTAGCACAAAGTTTAGCAAACTACCAAATATCCACTTTCCTACAAACAATGCAAACCACCCTTGATAGTCAGTGTTGCTGAGCATGTGTAACCAAAGAAAGACCTGCTCTACATTTTCAGGCCACTCTGTGCATAGTTTTCTGTCACTTGTTGAATCAGTTTTTCTGTAGTCCTGCCTATGTGTGTTTTTCGAATAATAAAAGGAAATATTTGAGGTAGAATAGTAAGATACTGTCCTGAAGTTACCAGATTACGGTGTGGTAAGTTGCAGGCCTAATTGCTCATTTGGTAAATGGAATACATTTAGTCTCCTGCCCAAGAGTTCACATGTGACTTTTAAGCATGTAAACACACAAACACACAATTGGCAGTAGAAGATTGAAACTGAGAAATACTAGGAACATTATCTTAATACTTGTGGCAGGCTTGTTGCCAGATTTATCTATAGAAGACATAAAAATTGTAGGAATTCCCTGTAGAAATTGTAGCTACACACTTGTAGCTAGTAATTATAGTAATTTTTTAAAAATTAAGTTACAAAATTAAATTAATTAAAAATAGTTTTCTAGAATTATTTTCTAGTTTAAACTTGATTGCTGAGTTGACACATAAATGGATCGACTGTATTACCTCATCACTACCCCGACAGGAGGGAGTTTGGGCCTCTGGCTGGGATCTGTTGTGTCCAACTTCAGGGTAAAGTGTGAGTGAGAAATATTACCAGAGACAACAGTGAATGGTTTTGAGACTGAGAGGTGGACATCTTTCTATGAAATGCTTGCAATCGAAAGCCAGGCCGATCCTTCAGCAGTCATCAATACAAAGAGCTACACAGAATGGATAGAAGGAGGGGGAAAAAAAGGAGAGACTTGAAATACAGTGGGGGAGGAGGCAGGAAAACAGGGTTGTATCCTTATTGAAGAAATTTTCTAGATCTTGGAACCTAGCAAGAAATATATCTTGTAGTTGACCCATGGCTTTTCCGTGGCCAAGAGAATTGCTGTTTTGGCTATTATTGATTCTGCTTAGAGAATACCCTTCACATAAGTCACAATGTACTAAGTTTCTCCTCAACTTTCTTTACTCTCCTACCTATAGTATCCCATTCCTTTCCTTGGGCTCATTTTCTGTGTGCATTTTCACTTCTCAATTCACCCAATATGATCCTACCCATTCTTTGAGATTTATCTCCTCTGTGAAGCCTTTTAAATTTCCACAATAAATAGCTTCTATTTATTCATTACATTGTAAAATCAATTCTGAGCATTATTTTGTAGTAGGAGTTGGTCAAAGTGGAGGTGATGGTTGTAAGTGTATTCTAGGCAAATGGAACAAAGCATGGACAAAAAGTTGGATCCCAACAAGTTCCTGGCACATTGAGAACTTGAGCTTTGTTCATGATCTATTACTGGAAATTAACTGGTGAAGGGGTGGGATAAGGTTGATGGGAGATGACACAGGTAAGGTTAACAAGAGCCAGATAGTGGCGTTCTATAATTATCTGTTGAAGGAAGAATGAACCATGAAGGACCTTGTTTAGACATATTATATGATTTGCCCAAAGCCACATAGCCAATTAGTGAAAAAGTCAGGATTCAAACTCAGTTTTTGTCTTATTTTAAAACCCGAGCTCTTTATCTCTATGGTAGCCTAAATCTTGAAATAATTCCCTCACTAGAATGTGAAACAAACAGCCTTGGTTATAGCACTGCTCAAAGCAAAAGAGTTCAGTGTGCAGGAGAGAGAAAGATGTGATTTTAGGGAGTGAAAAGAATGGTTTTTTTTCTTTACTTTCAAAGAGAGTGCACTGAGAGAAGAAAAACTCCTTAGAAATGAAATTAGTGGAAACTATAATTAAATGAGAATTTTGAGTTTTGGAGAGATGAGAATACTCTGTAATTTGTGTTAACACTCCTAATATAAGGAAGTGATGATTCCAGGAGAAATGTGAATAATATTATATAAGAAGGAAAACAAAATATTATATAAGAAGGAAAACAAAATATTATGTAAGAAGGAAAACAAAAGGCAGGGTGAGGCCAAAAATATTTCCTTATAAATAGGACTGATTCTAAAGCCTCCCATAAGCAAATGTTTGTATAGCAAAACTATACCTCATTTCAAATCTGATTTTGAAAAATCTTGAAACATTTTATAGGCAATATGGATTTCTACTAAAGGAAGATCAAAAGTTAAAATCTGTACTATAGGTATATTTTTTGAGAAGCAAATTGAATCTGCTTAAGTTAATTGCTTAGTATAATGCATATGATTCTTTTTTTAATGCATATGATTCTTAAGCTTCTGTGTATGTCATAATTTTGGGCTGTTATGCTCTATATGTATAAAGCTAAGGTACTTCTTCTGATAATGTAAATAATCTAATCTGGATGAAACCCAACTGAGAGATGCTTTCAAAATGTGTGTGAAATATCTGTATAATGCTTCCATGTAATGTTAGCTGTTAGCAACTTTGACTTGAAGTGAGCAGAAAAAGTGAGGAATAATGTAAATATTCCTCAAATTTGGCAAACCATCAGAATCATGTGAATAAATCCTTAAGGGAATCTCAAAGTTCTCCCCGACCTAAATGAAGCACAATCTGGTTGGACCATCTTGGAAATCTGCATTTTTAACATAAACATTGACCTGAGTGTTCTGATGAAGAGCCTGACTCCCAAAAACACGTGTATTTTTTTTTTTCTCTGTTAGCAAGAGAACTATGCAGAAAGTAAAGTAACTGGAGTTAGAGCAGAACAGTTATTATGTGCTTCTCTCCCCAGGTGATTTAGTAAGTTATTTATTTTACAATCAATTTACCCTTTACCTATGAGCTGAAAGTCTATTTTACAATTACCACAGATTGAGCAGGTCATCTCTGAAATTGTTATTTTTGGCCCCCAGATTTGGCCTCCTGAAATCCTTGACATTTCCCAAATACACTTCCAAGAGCGAAGGAGAATTGGTCAATTGACTCTGAGGTATAAACATTAAACTAATAGTAAGGTCACTTGGAATAAGTTCTATATCTTAGTCAGTTAACTTTGTGAGCCCCTTAAAATCCAGATAACATTGTACATCTTTCCAGAGTGCAGTGTATATTTGGTAAAAAGGTAAAGATGAGTGAAAGTGGTCTGTGTTATGGTTAGGGGAGTGGCTATTCATATAGGTGTGGTTTAGGGAGTTGAGGCAAACTTTCTCCCAAATGTGATTTCAAATGTGATTGAAATCTAGTATCTAAAACTTAATCCATTGAGCCTTTTAAAATGCAAATGAATCTCTTTTCAGATATTTATACTTGTGTGAGAAAAAAGAGTTTTAGTGTATGTAGTACTGGTAGGGGTGTGTGCGTGTGTGTGTGAGGGGTGTGGTAAAGATACAGGGAGATGAGCTATCAATGAGGAAGAATAAGAACAAACAGGCTGGAATTTATAGTTTCCTGATTTATTTGCTATATTTCCTCTTGATGGTGCTTAAATTTGAAGGTTAAGCCTTGGGATACAGTGCTGGGGCCTTGTTTCTGCCCTCTCAGAAATTATAGTTCGTAACCTCCTTTTTCTACGTTCCAGTCAATGGTTTCTAAACTTTGTGCTGCAGGAACTGTAAAGAATAGTCATTCAGCAAGGACTGTTTATTTAGTGCCCTCCAGGGTGCTGAGAGCTGAATCAGAGAAAATTTATGGCATTCTACTCTCAAGCTTTGATGCTGGTTCTGAAATATAGAGACTCTTGACACATATCTCCAAAGGGACATTTATACCTCTTTTTAATGTGCATTAAGGGAAGAAAACTACTTGACCGGCTTATTAACACATTTTTATGTCAAATGCACTTTTTCAAAGTCATATTTATTAAGGCATGATTTGCATATTGTAAAATTTACCCGTTTTAAGTATACAGTTTGATGAATGCAATAAACGTATATAATCATGTTAATAGTTTCACCACCTCTAAACATTCATGCCCTTTTTTCATTAACCCTCCTTCCCTAGAAACAACACTTGGCAACCACTGATATGAATTAAGTTTCTACAGTTTTGCTTATCGCATAATATCACATAAATGACTCATACATTATGTGTTTTTTGATACCAGCTTCTTTCACCTGGCATAATGCATTTGTGATTAAGTCATGTCATTGTGTGAATCAGAAGTTCATTTCTTAACGTTGCTGAGTAACACTTAATTATGGATGTAGTGGTTTGTTTATCCATTTGCCATTTCAAAGACTTTTGGGTTGCTTCCAATTGTTGATGATTATGAATGAAACCAACACAAATGTCCATATACAATTTTTGTGTTGTGTACGAACACAAGTTTTTATTGCTCTTGGTAAATTTTGAAGTGGGATTACTGGATTATATAATAAATGTCTGTTAAAGTTTATAAAAGAACAGACAAAAGTGGTTGTGTCAGTTTGCATTCTAGACAGCAATGAATGAGAGTCCCAGTTTCGCCTTATCCTTGCTAGAAACTTGGTATTGTCACATTTTTTATTTTAGCCACCTTTATAGGTATCTAGTAATATGACATACCAGTTTTAATTTTCATTTCCCTAATAATGCTGAACATCTTATTATGGGCTTGTTTATATATTATCATCAATGAATTCAGTGTTCATATCTTTTGCACATTTTTATTGGATTGTTTTATTAATTTGTAATTTTATGCACACACACACACACACACACACACACACACACACACTATACAGGTCCTTTACAAGCAGTATATCAGATAGGTGTTTTACCAATATTTTCTTACAGTCTGTTTTGTCTTTTAATTTTTGAGTAGTGCCTTTCCAAGACAGGTTTTAATTTTAATGTGACCCAAATTATTATTTTTTATATGGCTCATTCTTTTTGTATTGTAACTTTTAAAAAATTGCCTAACCCTAAGTTAAAATTTTCTTCTTTTTTATCGTATAAGATTTATAATTTAGGATTTACATTAAGTATATCATTCATTTAAAGTTGATTATTCAAACTAGTTATGGAATAAGGTTAATTTTTTGTTTAATTTTATATTATGTATCATTGTGCAATTGTCCCAGAATCATTTGTTCGAATGAATTTTGACTTCCCATTGGAATGCTTTGGCATTTTTGTTAAAACACAATTGACTTTAGATGTGTTTGCTTATCTGTGTATTTAATGGTCTATAACCTATGCCAATGCCACACTATTTTGATTAATGTAGTCTTTATAGTATGTGTTGAAATAAGATAATATTAATATTAGACTCCAGGCTTTCTTCTTTCTGTAGATGGTTTTAGGTTCTTTGATTTTTCATATTAATGGTAAACCAGCTTGTCAATTTCTACAGAAAATTCTGCTGGGAATTTGATTGTGATTGCACTGAACTTTAAGATCAATTTGGGGAGAAGTGACACCTTAATATTATCAAGTCTGCTAATTTATAAACACAATATTCACAATATTTTTCTCTGTGTAGATATTCCTTATTTTCTCTTATCAATGATTTATAGTTTGCAAATTATGTACATATTTTCTCAGATTTATCTACAGTTTATATTTACAATGCTATTGCAAATAACACTTATACTTTAAAATTGTAATTCCTAATTGTTTACTGCTAGTAAATAGACTTATAATTCAATTTCATATTGACTTCATACTCTGTGGATTTGCTAAAAACTCATCCATTAGTTGTGATAGCTTATCTGAAATTTTCTGTGTAGATGGTTATGTTGTCTACATGTATACACGTTACAAAAATAACAGTTTTGTTGCTTCCTTTTCAATATGTGTATCTTCTATTTCATTTTCTTGCCTTATTGACCTGACTAGAACCTCCAGTGAAATGATTAACAGTGATGGTGGGAGCAAATATCCTTGTCTGCTCTTTATTTATTTATTTATTTATTTATTTATTTATTTTTATTTTTATGGAGTTTCGCCTTTGTCACCCAGGCTGAAATGTAATGGCTTCTTCTTGTCTCACTGCAACCTCCGCCTCCCGGGTTCAAGCAGTTCTCCTGCCTCAGCCTACCGAGTAGCTGGGATTACAGTCACCCACCACCACGCCCAGCTAATTTTTACATTTTTAGTAGAGACACGGTTTCACCATGTTGGCCAGGCTGGTCTCGAACTCCTGACCTCAGGTGATCCACCTGCCTTGGCCTCCCAAAAGTGCTGGGATTATAGACGTGAGCCACCGTGCCCAGCTGTCTTGCTCTTGATATTAGTATAAAAACATTCCATCTTTACCATAAACTATGATGCTATAAGTATTTTATAGATGTCCCTTGTCAGATTGAGGAAGAACCTTTCTCTTCTTAGTTTGCTGAGAGAGTTTGTTATGAACAGTGTTAAATTTTGTAAAATACTTTTTCTATTTCTGTCATATGATTGTTCTTTTTCAGTCTGTTTTATGAATAATTTCATTGATTGATTTTTCTAATGTTGAACAAACTATGATTCCTGGAGCAAACCCCATTGGTTGTTACTTTTAAAATATGTTATTAGATTCAATTTGATAATACATCTTTAAGGAATTTTGTGCTTAGGTTTACAAGGAATATTGGTGTTTAGGAGTTTTTTAAATGCCATTTTCTTGTTTTGCTATAAAGAAAATGTTGGCTTCATAAAATGAGTTGGGATGTGTTTTCTATTTCTCTATTTTCTGGAAGAGTTTGGGGAGGTCTTCAAATTTAGATTCTCTAATAGATGTTAAGACTACTCAGATTACCCAGTTTTCAATAATTGGGCTTGGGATTTTGCATTTTTCAGGGAATTTGACTTTTTCAAGACATGTTATCAAATTTAAGGGCATGAATTTGTTTATAATACTTTCTTATTTCTATTTTAACTTCTGTAGAAACAGTAGGATTCTGTGATGTCTCTTTACATTCCTGTTGTTAGTAATTTGTGTCGTACGTTTTTTTTCTTTGATCAGTCAGGTTACAGACCAGTCAATTATATTGGTATTTTCAAAAAACTAGATTGTGGTTTTATTGATTTCTAAAATTTTTAGTTATTTATTTCAACTTTATTGACCTCTTATCTTAATTTTTCTCCTTTATGCCCTCTTTGGATATATTAGACTTATTGATTTGGATATTTAATGTTTTCTGATATTAACATATAATGTTGAAAAATTCCTCATAATTATTGCTTCAGCTGTATCTCACAAACTTTGGTAGATTGCATTTTTATTTGTATTCACTTCAATATATTTTTAATATTTTTGTGTGATTTATTTGACTTATGAATTATTTAAAGTACATTATTTAATTTCCAAATACTTAGGCAATTTCCAGTTATCATTCACTTTTGTCTTATTTTCATCAAATATTTTTTATACTATTACAACCTGAAAAATTTTTGACATTTTAATTATTGCCCAAGATATGGTTTATATTGGGACACATGCACATGAAATGAATATGACTTATGCAATAGTTGGGAGAAGCCGCCCTAAATATTAATTTGGTCAGATTGGTCTTAGGATTTTTCAGGACTTCAGATACTCATTTTCTGTCTAATTATTAGATTAAATATTGATAAAAGAGAGTTGATATCTCCAAGTATATTTGTGAACTTTCCATTTTCTTTTTTATCAGTGTTCATCTTATTTTATTTTATATATCTTATGTATTTGTTGAATATACATTTAGGATTTGTATGCATTCTCAATGAGTTCACTGCTTTAACATTATGTAAGTCACTCTTTAGCCCGGTAGCTCTTTATCCTAGGTTTTAAAATCTATTTTATCTTATTTTAGGTATTTTAACTTTCTTTAATTAGTTTATGCATGCTATGTCTTTCCATATTTTTGCTTATAACATGTTTATATTTTTAGATTTAATGTAAATTTATTGTAGGCATCTTTAATGTGTTTCCTATAGGTAGCATCTTATATTTAATATGTTTCTTGTAGGCATAGAGTTGTATCTACTTTTATTTATTTATTTATTTATTTTTATTATACTTTAAGTTCTAGGATACATGTGCACAACGTGTGGGTTTGTTACATACATATATACATTTGCCATGTTGGTTTGCTGTACCCATTAACTTGTCATTTACATTAGGTATTTCTCCTAATGCTATCCCTCCCCCATCCCCCCACCCCACAACAGGCCCTGGTCTGTGATGTTCCCTGCCCTGTGTCCAAGTGTTCTCATTGTTCAATTCCCACCTATGAGTGAGAACATGTGGTATTTGGTTTTCTGTCCTTGCCATAGTTTGCTCAGAATGATGGTTTCCAGCTTCATCTATGTTGCTACAAAGAACATGAACTCATTCTTTTTTATGGCTGCATAGGATTCCATGGTATATATGTGCCACATTGTCTTAATCCAGTCACCATTGATAGACATTTGGGTTGATTCCAAGTCTTTGCTATTGTGAATAGTGCCACAATAAACATACGTGTGGATGTGTCTTTATAGTAGCATGATTTATAATCCTTTGGGTATATACCCAGTAATGGGATGGCTGGGTCAAATGGTATTTCTAGTTCTAGATCCTTGAGGAATTGCCACACTGTCTTCCACAATGGTTGAACTAGTTTACAGTCCCACCAACAGTGTAAAAGTGTTCCTATTTCTCCACGTCCTCTCCAGCACCTGTTGTTTCCTGACTTTTTAATGATCCCCATTCTAACTGGTGTGAGATGGTATCTCATTGTGGTTTTGATTTCCATTTCTCTGATGACCAGTGATGATGAGCATTTTTTCATGTGTCTTTTGGCTGCATAAATGTCTTCTTTTCAGAAGTGTCTGTTCAGATCCTTTGCCCACTTTTTGATGGGGTTGTTTGATTTTTTCTTGTAAATTTGTTTAAGTTCTTTGTAGTTTCTTGATATTAGCCCTTTGTCAGATGGGTAGATTGCAAAAATCTGTAGGTTGCCTGTTCACTCTAATGGTAGTTTCTTTTGCTATGCAGAAGTTCTTTAGTTTAATTAAATCTCATTTGTCTATTTTGGCTTTCATTGCCATTGGTTTTGGTATTTTACTCATGAGGTCCTTGCCCATGCCTATGTCCTGAATGGTATTGCCTAGGTTTTCTTCTAGGGTTTTTATGGTTTTAGGTCTAACATTTGAGTCTTTAATCCATCTTGAATTAATTTTTCTACAAGGTGTAAGGAAGGGATACAGTTTCAGCTTTCTGCATATGGCTAGCCAGTTTTCCCAGCAGCATTTATTAAATAGGGAATCCTTTCCCCATTGCTTGTTTTTGTCAGGTTTGTCAAAGATCAGATGGTTGTAGATGTGTGGTGTTATTTCTGAGTCCTCTGTTCTGTTCCATTGGTCTATATCTCTGTTTTGGTACCAGTACCATGCTGTTTTGGTTACTGTAGCCTTGTAGTATAGTTTGAAGTCAGGTAGCGTGATGCCTCCAGCTTTGTTCTTTTCGCTTAGGATTGTCTTGGCAATGCAGGCTCTTTTTTGGTTCCATATGAACTTTAAAGTAGTTTTTTCCAGTTCTGCGAAGAAAGTCATGGATAGCTTGATGAGGATGGCTTTGAATCTATAAATTACCTTGGGCAGTATGGCCATTTTCACGATATTGATTGTTCCTACCCATGAGCATGGAATGTTCTTCCATTTGTTTGTATCCTCTTTTATTTCGTTGAGCAGTGGTTTGTAGTTCTCCTTGAAGAGGTCCTTCATGTCCCTTGTAAGTTGGATTCCTAGGTATTTTATTCTCTTTGAAGCAGTTGTGAATGGAGTTCACTCATGATTTGGCTCTCTGTTTGTCTGTTATTGGTGTATAGGAATGCTTGTGATTTTTGTACATTGATTTTGTATCCTGAGACTTTGCTGAAGTTGCTTATCAGCTTAAGGAGATTTTGGGCTGAGACAATGGGGTTTTCTAGATATACAATCATGTCATCTGCAAACAGGGACAATTTGACTTCCTCTTTTCCTAATTGAATACCCTTTATTTCCTTCTCCTGCCTGATTGCCCTGGCCAGAACTTCCAACACTATGTTGAATAGGAGTGGTGAGAGAGGGCTTACCTGTCTTGTGCCAGTTTTCAAAGGGAATGCTTCCAGTTTTTGTCCATTCAGTATGATATTGGCTGTGGATTTGTCATAGATAGCCCTTATTATTTTGAGATACGTCCCATCAATACCTAATTTATTGAGAGTTTTTAGCATGAAGGGTTGTTGAATTTTGTCAAAGGCCTTTTCTGCATCTATTGAGATAATCATGTGGCTTTTGTCTTTGGTTCTGTTTATATGCTGGATTATATTTATTGATTTGCATATATTGAACCAACCTTGCATCCCAGGGATGAAGCCCACTTGATCATGGTGGATAAGCTTTTTGACGTGCTGCTGGATTTGGTTTGCTAGTATTTTATTGAGGATTTTTGCATCAATGTTCATCAAGGATATTGGTCTAAAATTCTCTTTTTTGGTTGTGTCTCTGCCCGGCTTTGGTATCAGGATGATGCTGGCCTCATAAAATGAGTTAGGGAGGATGCCCTCTTTTTCTATTGATTGGAATAGTTTCAGAAGGAATGGTACCAGCTCCTCCTTGTACCTCTGGTAGAATTCGGCTGTGAATCCATCTGGTCCTGGACTCTTTTTGGTTGGTAAGCTATTGATTATTGCCACAATTTCAGCTCCTGTTATTGGTCTATTCAGAGATTCAAATTCTTCCTGGTTTAGTCTTGGGAGGGTGTATATGTGGAGGAATTTATCCATTTCTTCTAGATTTTCTAGTTTATTTGCGTAGAGGTGTTTGTAGTATTCTCTGATGGTAGTTTGTATTTCTGTGGGATTGGTGGCGATATCCCCTTTATCATTTTTTATTGCATCTATTTGATTCTTCTCTCTTTTCTTCCTTATTAGTCTTGCTAGTGGTCTATCAATTTTGCTGATCCTTTCAAAAAACCAGCTCCTGGATTCATTAATTTTTTGAAGGGTTTTTTGTGTCTCTATTTCCTTCAGTTCTGCTCTGATTTTAGTTATTTCTTGCCTTCTGCTAGCTTTTGAATGTGTTTGCTCTTGCTTTTCTAGTTGTTTTAATTGTGATGTTAGGGTGTCAATTTTGGATCTTTCCTGCTTTCTCTTGTGGGCATTTAGTGCTATAAATTTCCCTCTACACACTGCTTTGAATGTGTCCCAGAGATTCTGGTATGGTGTGTCTTTGTTCTCATTGGTTTCAAAGAACATCTTTATTTCTGCCTTCATTTCGTTATGTACCCAGTAGTCATTCAGAGCAGGTTGTTCAGTTTCCACATAGTTGAGTGGTTTTGAGTGAGTTTCTTAATCCTGAGTTCTAGTTTGATTGCACTGTGGTCTGAGAGACAGTTTGTTTTAATTTCTGTTCTTTTACATTTGCTGAGGAGAGCTTTACTTCCAACTATGTGGTCAATTTTGGAATAGGTGTGGTGTGGTGCTGAAAAAAATGTATATTCTGTTGATTTGGGGTGGAGAGTTCTGTAGATGTCTATTAGGTCCGCTTGGTGCAGAGCTGAGTTCAATTCCTGGGTATCCTTGTTAACTTTCTGTCTCGTTGATCTGTCTAATGTTGACAGTGGGGCGTTAAAGTCTGCCATTATTATTGTTCGGGAGTCTAAGTCTCTATTTATGTCACTCAGGACTTGCTTTATGAATCTGGGTGCTCCTGTATTGGGTGCATATATACTTAGGATAGTTAGCTCTTCTTGTTGAATTGATCCCTTTACCATTATGTAATGGCCTTCTTTGTCTCTTTTGATCTTTGTTGGTTTAAAGTCTGTTTTATCAGAGACTAGGATTGCAACCTCTGCCTTTTTTTGTTTTCCATTTGCTTGGTAGATCTTCCTCCATCCTTTTATTTTGAGCCTATGTGTGTCTCTGCACATGAGATGGGTTTCCTGAATACAACACACTGATGGGTCGTGACTCTTTATCCAATTTGCCAGTCTGTGTCTTTTAATTGGAGCATTTAGTCCATTTACATTTAAAGTTAATATTGTTATGTGTGAATTTGATCCTGTCATTATGATGTTAGCTGGTTATTTTGCTTGTTAGTTGATGCAGTTTCTTCCTAGCCTCTATGGTCTTTACAATTTGGCGTGACTTTGCAGTGGCTGGTACTGGTTGTTCCTTTCCATGTTTAGTGCTTCCTTCAGGAGCTCTTTTAGGGCTGGCCTGGTGGTGACAAAATCTCTCAGCATTTGCTTGTCTTTAAAGTATTTTAAATCTACATCTGATTGGTGTACCTGAAAGTGGCGGGGAGAATGGAGCCAAGTTGGAAAACACTCTGCAGGATATTATCCAGGAGAACTTCCCCAATCTAGCAAGGCAGGCCAACGTTCAGATTCAGGAAATACAGAGAACGCCACAAAGATACTCCTCGAGAAGAGCAACTCCAAACACATAATTGTCAGATTCACCAAAGTTGAAATGAAGGAAAAAAGCTTAAGGGCAGCCAGAGAGAAAGGTCGGGTTACCCACAAAGGGAAGCCCATCAGACTAACAGCAGATCTCTCAGCAGAAACTCTACAAGCCAGAAGAGAGTGGGAGCCAATATTCAACATTCTTAAAGAAAAGAATTTTCAACCCAGAATTTCATATTCAGCCAAACTAAGCTTCATAAGTGAAGATGATGGGGTTTTATAAATATACAATCATGTCATTGGCAAACAGAGACAATTTGACTTTCCCTTTTCCTGATTGAATACCATTTATTTCTTTCTCTTGCCTGATTGGCCTGGCCAGAACTTCCAACACTATGTTGAATAGGAGTGGTGAGAGAGGACATCCCTGTCTTGTGCCAGTTTTCAAAGGGAATGCTTCTAGTTTTTGCCCATTCAGTATGATACTGGCTGTGGGTTTGTCATAATAGCTCTTGTTATTTTGAGATAGGTTCCAACAATACCTAGTTTACTGAGAGTTTTTAGCATGAAGAGCTGTTGAATTTTGTCGAAGGCCTTTTCTGCATCTATTGAGATAATCATGTGGTTTTTGTCTTTGGCTCTGTTTATGTGATGAATTGCATTTATTGATTTGCATATGTTGAACCAGCCTTGCATCCCAGGGATGAAGCCAACTTGATCTTGGTGGATAAGCTTTTTGATGTGCTGCTGGCTTCAGTTTGCCAATATTTTATTGAGGATTTTTGCATCGATGTTCATCAGGGATATTGGTCTAAAATTCTCTTTTTTTGTTGTGTCTCTGCCAGGCTTTGGTATCAGGATGATGCTGGCCTCATAAAATGAGTTAGGGAGGATTCCCTCTTTTCCTATTTGATTGGAATAGTTTCAGAAGGAATGGTACCAGCTCCTCTTTGTACCTCTGGTAGAATTCGGCTGTGAATCCGTATGGTCCTGGACTTTTTTTGCTTGGTAGGCTATTATTTATTCCCTCAATTTCAGAACCTGTTATTTGTCTATTCAGTGAGTCGACTTCTTCCTGGTTTAGTCTTGGGAGGGTGTATGTGTCAAGGAATTTATCCATTTCTTCTAGATTTTCTAGTTTATTTGCATAGAGGTGTTTATAGTATTCTCTGATGGTAGTTTGTATTTCTGTGAGATTGGTGGTGATATCCCCTTTATCATTTTTTATTGCATCTATTTGATTCTTCTCTCTTTTCTTCTTTATTAGTCTTGCTAGTGGTCTATCAATGGTATGTTTTGTCTCTATTCTCATTGGTTTCAAAGAACATCTTTATTTCTGCCTTCATTTAGTTATTTACCCAGTAGTCATTCAGGAGCAGGTTGTTCAGTTTCCATGTAGTTGTGTGGTTTTGAGTGAGTTTCATAATCCTGAGTTGTAATTTGATTGCATCGTGGTCTGAGAGACAGTTTGTTATGATTTCTGTTCTTTTACATTTGCTGAGGAGTCCTTTACTTTCAACTATGTGGTTGATTTTGGAATAAGTGCTATGTGGTGCTGAGAAGAATGTATATTCTGTTGATTTGGGGTGGAGAGTTCTGTAGATGTCTATTAGGTCTGCTTGGTGCAGAGCAGAGTTCAAGTCCTGGATATCCTGGTTCACCTTCTGTCTCGTTGATCTGTCCACTATGGACAGCGGGGTGTTAAAGTCTCCCATTATTATTGTGTGGGAGTGTAAGTCTGTTTTTAGGTCACTCAGGACTTGCTTTATGAATCTGGGTGCTCCTGTATTGGGTGCATATATATCTAGGATAGTTAGCTCTTCTTGTTGAATTGATCCCTTTACCATTATGTAATGGCCTTCTTTGTCTCTTTTGATCTTTGTTGGTTTAAAGTCTGTTTTATCAGAGACTAGGAATGCAACCCCTGCTTTTTTTGGCTTTCCATTTTCTTGGTAGATCTTCTGCCATCCCTTTATTTTGAGCCTATGTGTGTCTCTGCACATGAGATGCATCTCCTGAATAGAGCACACTGATGGATCTTGACTCCTTATCCAATTCGCCAGTCTGTGTCTTTTAATTGGGGCACTTAGCCCATTTACATTTAAGGTTAATATGGTTATGTGTGAATTTGATCCTGTCATTATGATGTTAGCTGGTTATTTTGCCCATTAGTTGATTCAGTTTCTTCCTATCATCAATGGTCTTTACAATTTGGCATGTTTTTGCAGTGGCTGGTACCGGTTGTTCCTTTCCATGTTTAGCACTTCCTTCAGGAGCTCTTGTAATGCAGGCCTGTTTTATGTTCCAAGATGGCCGAATAGGAACAGATGCAGTCTGCAGCTCCCAGCATGATTGAAGCAGAAGATGGGTGATTTCTGCATTTCCAACTGAGGTCCCTGGTTCATCTCACTGGGACTGGTCGGAAAGTGGATACAGCCCACAGAGGATGAGCTGAAGCAGGATGGTGCATTGCCTCATCTGGGAATTGCCAGGGGTTGGGGGATTTCCCTTTCCTAGCTAAGGGAAGCTGTGACAGACTGTACCGGGAAAATTGGGACACTGCCACCTAAGCACTGCACTTTTCCAAGGTCTCAGCAAATGGCACACTAGGAGATTATATCCTGTGCCTGGCTCAGCGGGTCCCATGCCTAAGGAGACTTGCTCACTGCTAGTCTGAGTTTGAACTGCCAGGTAGCAAGCCTGGCTGGGGGAGGGGCGTCTGCCATTGCTGAGGTTTGAGTAGCTAAACAGAGTGGCCTGGAAGCTCATACTGGGTGGAGTCCACCGTAGCTCAAGGAGGCCAGTCTGCCTCTGTAGACTCCACTTCTGGGGGCAGGGGATAGCTGAACAAAAGGCAGCAGAAATTTCTGCAGACTTAAACGTCCCTGTCTGACAGCTCTGAAGAGAGCAGTGGTTCTCCCAGCACGGTGTTTGAGCTCTGACAACAGACAGACTGGCCCCTCAAGTGGGTCCCTGACCCTGGTATAGTCTAACTTGGAGACACCTCCCAGTAGTGGCCGACTGACACCTCATACAGCCTGGTGCCCCTCTGAGATGAAGCTTCCAGAGGAAGGATCAGGCAGCAATATTTGCTGTTCTGCAATATTTGTTGTTTTGCAGCCTCCGCTGGTGATAACCAGGAAAACAGGGTCTGGAGTAGACCTCCAGCAAACTCCAACAGACCTGCAGCTGAGGGACCTGACTGTTAGAAGGAAAACTAACAAACAGAAAGTAATAGCATCAACATCAACAAAAAGGACATCCACACCAAAACCCTATCTGTAGGTCACCATCATCAAAGACCAAAGGCAGATAAAACCACAAAGGTGGGGAGAAACCAGAGCAGAAAAGCTGAAAATTCTGAAAACCAGAGTGCCCCTTCTCCCCTAAAGGATCACAGCTCCTCGCCAGCAACGGAACAAAGCAGGACAGAGAATGACTTTGACGAGCTGACAGAAGTAGGCTTCAGAAAGTCGGTAATAACAAACTTCTCTGAGCTAAAGGAGGATGTACAAACCCATTGCAAGGAAGTTAAAAACCTTGAAAAAAGATTAGATGAATGGCTAACTGGAATAAACAGTGTAGAGAAGACCTTAAATGACCTGACGGAGCTGAAAACCATGGCACAAGAACTACATGACGCATTCACAAGCCTCAGTAGCCGATTCGATCAAGTGGAAGAAAGGGTATCAGTGATTGAAGATCAAATGAATGAAATGAAGTGAGAAGAAAAGTTTAGAGAAAAAAGAGTAAAAAGAAATGAACAAAGCCTCCAAGAAATATGGGACTATGTGAAAAGACCAAAACTACATTTGATTGGCGGACCTGAAAGTGACGGGGGGAATGGAACCAAGCTGGGAAACACTCTTCAGGATATTATCCAGGAGAACTTCCCCAACCTAGCAAGGCAGGCCAACATTCAAATTCAGGAAATACAGAGAACACTACAAAGATAGTCCTCGAGAAGGAGCAACCCCAAGACACATAATTGTCAGATTCACCAAAGTTGAAATAAAGGAAAAAATGCTAAGGGCAGCCAGAGAGAAAGGTCAGGTTACCTACAAAGGGAAGCCCATCAGACTAATAGCAGATCTCTCAGCAGAAACCCTACAAGCCAGGAGAGAGTGGGGGCCAATATTCAACATTCTTTAAGAAAATAATTTTCAACTCAGAATTTCATATCCAGCCAAATTAAGCTTCATAAGTGAAGGAGAAATAAAATCCTTTACAGACAAGCAAATGCTGAGTTGTATCTACTTTTAAATCCAATGTGATAACTATGTCTTTTAACTGGCAATTTTAGACCATTTGCATTCAATATAATTATAGATTTGCATTTAAATCCACCATTTTGCTAGATGTTTTTAATGTTTTTTAAATAATTATTTTTTTCTCTGCCTTGTTTGTATTAATTATCTATTTTTTATGATGGGATCTTATCAATATTGCTTATTATACTTCTTTATTTTGGGTCTTTTATCATATATGTCTTTAACTTATCATAGTCTGTTTCAAAATATTATATAATTCTCATGTAGTATAAGAACATCATAACAATATATTTTTACTTCCTCTATTTTATCTCTTGTGCTATTATTGGCGTTCATTATATTCATACGTATTTTATAGAAAATGCATTTTTAGAACTTATGCCTTTAAACAATTATCTTTTTAAAAAAATTAAAAGGAGAAGAAATGTGTTTTATACTTACTCTTTTAAAAAATTCTTTTTCAATGTTCTTCTTTGTGTAAATTGATATTGCCATCTTTTACTAGCCTCCTTTAACGTTTCTTTTAGTGTATATCTCCTGGAAATGAATTATTGCTACCTGTATTTGTTTGAAAAAATGTGTTTCTATCACCATCATTTTTTATCTCTCTATGAATAAGTCCAATATTTTTTATTTATTGATAAGTGATAATAGAGTTTTTACTATGCACCAGATTCTATGACTATGTATATATGAAATGCATCTAACCTAGTCCTACTGTGGAGGAATACTCAGAAAAGGCTTTGCTTTAAAGAAAGTAGTATATTAGTTAAGATGTAGAAGCTAAATCATAAATGCAGTAAATGTAGACATGTAATCTGTAGTTGACGGCACTACTTTTTAAATACAATCAGCCAAAAAATTGGCATTTTCTATTTTCCAGAGTTAGAATTTCTTAATAAAATTAGAAGGTTTTGAACTGATTAGAATTTGGTCATTTTGTACATGTATCAGTAAAATTGTACCATGTACTGTTGTATTTCACGGCAGATAAACAAATCAGGTAAATATTGCTTTCCAAAATGAGTACCTATTTAAAAAATGTATTGGGCCATTTAAATGCCCTGTTGTCAACTGTGGGATATCTATAAAGTCATCAAAAGCATATTTATTACATAGATTCTGTGGCATATTTTTAGTGTGCTTTAGAACAAATATAAGACAATGCAACAGAGTTTGCCCATTCCTCTTTAGTAAAAAAAGCTAAGACTGCAGTCTCCTCTTTTCCCTAAATGTCATCTACAAAATTAACAATTGCCAAATACAACAAATCAACAATTGACAACCTGATGATAGTGCCGCAAATCCATTTAAAGTTTAAACTGTCTCTAATAACTATTTTCATTCAGGAGTGTGGTAGGAGAAGATGAGGTTAGGGAGGAGCTCATTCTTCTCCCAGTACCAGTACTGCTCACTAGAAAATATTAGATTTTGTAAATTTTAATTTAGAATGGCAGCAAGTAAGGATAGAAGATGCAAACACCCAATTGCCATGTAATTGTCTGGTATTCTTCTCATAAGCAACATTTCCCTGATAATAGTCAGATATTGGATTAACTTCATGATCCAATGGCATAGTTTAAGTGGTATACCTGTTTCTTATTTCATTGTGTGCACTTTGTCAAGAATAAACTCTAGCTTTCAATATTTATAAACAAGAGCTCAGTACCACTTAATATGATAACAACACAGAATGAGGGCAAGGGTTGTCAAACTGTTACTTAAAATATCTGAGAGGCAATGTTTGGTTAAAGTGTGGTGAGATAGTGTTGGTAACGTTATAAACTGGAGAACAGCTTTAGAGAGTAAAAATGACATTGATCCTGAATTCCACTGGTACTACTTTACCACAGATGAGGTCTGGGGGAGAATGATTTATGCATGTGATATTATCTTATATAATTCTCACAGAATCCCAAAAGGCATCGCTTACAAGTCACATTTTATGTGGGATCATTTAGGCTTAGAAAATTTACGTGGTTTGTTCGAAAATAAACTAGAAGAAGCAGAATTGGAATTTTTGCCCATATCTGACTCCAAGCCCCATGTTTTTATCATTTAAAAAAAATTTAATTCATTGGATCAGTGCATACCGTGTACCTACAGTGTCAAGTACAGTGATAGAGACTTGGGACATAAATATGTTTTTCACTTTTGAGTGTTGTATAGCTTCTTGAAGAGAGTTAGAAGATCAACTGATAGTGTGAGAGAGATTTAAGGTCTATGATAGAAGCATTAGCTACCCAGTGAGTGCCTAGAGGGTAGAGTGATCAATCCTCCCTTAGAAAAATGGACTCAAAACAGACCTTATTGGTGGCTGTGATGTCTCAACTGAGCCCTGGAACATGAACCTGTACTCAATGGTCCAAAAACCAGATTATAGGGGTACGAAAGGTTATTCCAAGGAAAGGGTTCAGGCTGAGTAAGACACAGGCATAAGAGTTTTTCAAACAATGGTTTACAATAGATTAATTCATTAGGATAGTTTTGGTGCCCAGAGGAAATGGGACACACACAGTTGCTTTTGATGCCTTGTAAAGCACAGCTTGTGGAAACAGAACCAGGTGATATCCTCAGTGGGAGTGATGTCTCTCTGACATTCTACATACAAGAAGGACCCTTCATTGAACAAAATAATTTTGGGTAAATGTGAAAATTAGAGATCAAATCTTTGAATCTTATAAAACGTTGAAAAGGCTAGTTTGGGCAGGGAAAATAATGAGCTTCACCTGGAATTTGTGGGCTGTGTAAGGCTAATTAGAGCCAAATGTTAAGACTTAACACATCATAGCAAGAAAGGTTATGCATAATCAGATGGCTTGCAATTTCTAAATAAAATAAGTATTCACAAAGTTAAAATCTTGGTTAGGTGGAGCAGAATTTCAGTTGATGAATTTCAGCAGCTAAGGGGTAGTTGAGAAAAAAGACTTAAATGTGATTAGGCAACTGCTTAGGATAGTGAGTTTGAAAGTTGGCTGCATATTAGAATCACATGGACCACTTTTTAAAAATCCAAATATTCAGCTTTCACCTCATGCCAGTTAAATTAGAATATCTGGGAGTGCTAGGAAGGCATCAATATTTTTATAGATCTTCAGATTATTCCAACGTGTAGTAAAGTCCTGAAATAGGTGCCCTAGGACCAACATATACTACATTTTCTTAGATTAGTTTTATGTGGCAAAACTTTGACATGAAAAAGAAATAGTAAGAGAAGCCACGTTTCTTTTTAAAACAGCACATGAAGCTGGGCACAGTAGCTCATCCCAGCACTTTGGGAAGCCAAGGTGGGTGAATCTCTGAGCTCAGGAATTCAAGACTAGCATGAACAACATGGTGAAACCTTGTCTCTACCAAAAATACAAAAAATTAGCTGGGCATGGTGGTGAGCACCTATGGTCGCAGCTACTCAGAAGGCTGAGGTAGGAGGATTGCTTGAGTCCAGGAGGCAGAGATTACAGCAAGTTGAGATCCCACGACTGTACTCCAGCCTGTGCAACATAGTGAGACCCCATCTCTAAAATAAAATAAAATAGTAAAAGTTCTCATGAATGCTACTATCTACACCAGGAACTGGAATGCCTGATGGAATTTTAGAAACATACAATCTTTAAGATGTGTTGTTCCCTTATATTTGCAAAATACCTGGGCTATCTTGTCTATCATTATATATATTAGAATAAAACATGATTGATCACTTATTATTCTCTGGAAATCAACGATGACGAAGCATACCAACTGTTCACATGGCACTTTTCCCGGAACACCTAAGCCATAAGAAAATATTATTGTAAATTCTCACTTTGTTCTGTGGATTGGTTGAGACAATGACCTTACCATTTTTTTTATGAAATAGGAAAGTGAGGTGCAAGCAACTGAAGCTGGAATATAGGTTTATTGATTTTCATTCCCAGATAGCATCTATTGTCCCTGTATTGCCTGACAGAACAAGCCTAAACTGAATAGTCACATGATTAAAGCTGGGTGCCAGAAATGCTATTTTTGGGGTAAAAAATGGCAAGCTGAAAATGTTGCTTTGCAATCAGTATATTTACCCTAAAGGTAACATGTTTCCAATGGAATGACTGAAGATTAACATAGGCTTTGTGAGAAGGTACCACTTAGAATATACAATAAGAAGTAAAGATTATTAATCCTAAAAATAATTCTACATATATTATTAACCCACATACAAAAAAATAAGTGTTTATTGCATGGATACCATGTCCTTATTCACTGGGCAATGTGGTGCAAACAAACAGAAGAAAGTTTCTATGTGTAAGGAGGTTGCAATATTTAAGACAGTTTCTTGGTGTAAGAGGAGATTTTAGATATTGGTGTGCTAAGATAGCACTTGCTATAAAATCAACATACAGAGTAGTAGAATGTGTGCTGTTTTGTTAAAGCTAATGAAAGAAACTTGATCTTGTCCCATCATAGTGTGAGAGGAGTCACTTATCTTTTATAATGTCCCTTCAATATTATAGGAAAATATGTTAATCTCATAGTTCAGAAGACATACATCAAAAGAGTTTGGGAAAGAGGAGATTAATATGCATAACTTGAAGAAGTTTTGCTTTGTCAACTTGGAAGAGGAAGCTATGGAGGAAAGAAGAGCTCCTTCAACAAATGACCAATGAGTACCAGATATAAAACACATTTGGCTTCTTCTAAATTACTCTTCATGTTATAACAATCAATAAATAGGGAGAAAAACTCTCCATGTCATGTCTCTTTAATAAATTCCTCCATTAGACTATTAGCAACTCTTCCACCAGACTGTGAGTTCCTTGTTGATAGGGATAGTGTTCTATTAATCTTTGATTCTTCTGCGCTAGGGCAAAGGCCATGTGTATAAAAATAATTTGATAATTGTACAACTTACCTTCATTTTAGATAAAAGATAATGAGGCATCAGTTAAGCTGTTCTCTGTCTGCCCTTTTTATTGTGCATTTAAAATTTTCTCTCTTTGAATATCAATTCTGGAGATCATTGACTTTGAGTTATGTAGAACAAACTGAAGGCTTAAATTCTTTCATTTTGATATGAAAGTTTAAATCATTTCACTGATCATTTGGATAATTTGACTGGAACTGCCCTGAATCTGTAGATAAGGGAGAACTAATATGTAAACATTATTGAATTTTCTAGTAAGTTTTAAAATTTTGGATGCTTTTGTTAACTTTGGTTTTCATTTTATTTGGCAACTATTTGTTGCTAGCATACTTAAACACATTTAACTTTTGGATACTCTCTTTGCATCTCAATCTTGTAAAAATCACTTACTGGTTGTAGAAGTTTTCTGTAGTTATTGCCTTTGTTGCACTGGCTAGGACTTTCATTGCAGTGTGGAATATATGTTAAGAGTAAGTAGCCTTACTTTTTCCTGATTTTAAGGAGAAAACATTCAGGTTTTCACCATTAATTTTTTTCATAGGTGTCCTTTATCATCTTGAAGAAGTTTCTTTTTATTCCTAGAATCTACTTTCCATTCCTAGTATCTGTTGCTAAAAAATACCATTGTCTGTAACTTGCTTTCTTGTAATATCTTTGTATGGTTTTGATTATAGGATAGTGCTGGAATCACAAATTGAAAGTTGTTTTTTCTACTCCAGTATTTTCTGAGATATTTTTGTAATATTAATCTCTTAACTATTTGATAGAATTCACCAGTAAAGCTGTGAGTACTGCTATAGCTTCACTCAGCAAATGTTGACATGTTGTATTTTCATTATGTTTCAGTTCAATGCATTGATTTTCTTTTGTCATTTCTTCTTAGACTCAATGGTATTATTTAAAATTATGTGACTTAATTTCCAAATATTTAAGGCTTTTCTATATTAATGGTTTTTACTTTAATTCCATTGTTGTCAGATTTAATTCATTTTTAATTTTGGGACTCATTTTATGGCCCCTACAATGGACTATTGTGATGACTCTTCCATATACATTTGAAAACAATGTGTATTCTGCTATTATTTGGTGGAGTGTTCCACAAATGTGAACCAGATTCAAGTGGTTGACAGTTTTGTCCAAGCCTTATGCATCCTTGGTGATTTTATGTTTGCTTGTATTGTCAGTTACTGAAAGGGCAGCGTTGAATTCTGCAACTTAAAACATTGGATTTATTTGCTTCCCTTTTATTTTTTTCAGTTCTGGCCTCATATATTTTGAAGCACTTACCAGTGGCATATTAATACATTTAGAATGTTTATTTACTCCTGATAAATTGACCCCTTATGAGAAACCCTTTATGTTTCTCTGTATCCCTAGTTGTTCTGAAGTGTACATTGTTCTGACGCTGATATAACCATTCCAGCTTTCTTATAATTAGGTTTATGTGGCATATCACTTTCTATTCCTCCATTTTTAACCTGTGTCTTCTTTAGTGGATTTCTTATAAACAAGATAGTGTTGGTCATTTATGTATTTCTTCATCTTCCTCCATGGGAATATTTTTTGTTTTTGTTTTTTAACTTTTAAGTTCAGGGGTACAAGCGCAGGTTGTAAAAAAATGAGGATATTTAAAAATATATATTCACATACATTTTGAATACTCTCTTGCTTTTTATTCCTTTTTATAGAGCCAAATATCCATCTGACATCAACTTTCCTCTTCTTGGAGAATTTTCTTTAATATCTAGTCCATTGATCTCTCTTTTGCTAATTTTCAAACTTTCACTAAATATAAAGTAGTTTGAACTCTTATTTGGTAAATAAAATTATATGGGATATACAAGCAAGTATCTGCAGTCATTTAATAGCAGCTTACCAGTATTCTAAATCTATGCTGTGAATTTAGATTTATAACTTGGGAGCAAACAGAAGACAAATTATGTTTGATGGTGTTTGTGAGTTAGATATCAATTTAACGTATAATCTAAAATATAACTTGAAGTTTTTTGGGGGTAAAAATCACCTATGTTTTGAGCAGAGTAGGAACCCCTCTTAGGGGCTTGCCAGGAACCCCTCTCAGCCTATCATGAAAATAAACACAAATCTTGAGTTCCTTGAAGGGAAATTCCAGCTACGTAGCTAGCCCCGTGAGCAACTTGATAAGCAATAAGATAATAGTAGCTTAAAACAATAGCCAAGGAAGTTAGAGTCAGGAAATGTTTTGTTCGTTATAGAAACTAAAGATAAAATATATTGTCATTTCTTTTTAACTTTTATTTTAGGTTCGGGGGTACATGTGAAGGTTTGTTACACAGGTAAACTGATGTCATGGGGGTTTGTTGTACAGATTATTTCATCTTCGAGGAATTAAGTCCAGGACCCAATAGTTATCTTTTTTGCTTCTCTCCCTCCTCTCCTCCTCCCCCAGGCCCCCTCAAGTAGACCCCAGTGTCTGTTGTTTCCTTCATTGTGTTCATAAGTTCTCATCATTTAGCTCCCACTTATAAGTGAGAATATGTGGTGTTTGGTTTTCTGTTCCTGTGTTTGCTGAAAAATCATAGCCTCCAGCTCCATCCATGTTCCCCCTAAAGACATTATCTCGTTCTTTTTTTGATGGCTGTGTAGTACTCCATGGTGTATATTTACCACATTTTCTTTATCCGATCCATTTTTGATGGACATTTAGGTTGATTCCATGTTTTTGCTATTGTGAATAGTGCTGGAATGAATATTTGTATGCATGTGTCTTTATGGTAGAATTATTTATATTCCTCTGAGTATATACCCAGTATGAGATTGCTGGGTTGAATGGTAATCTTGCTTTTAGCTCTTTGAGGAATCACCATACTGCTTTCAACAGTGGTTGAAGTAATTTACACTCCAACCAACAGTGTGTAAGTGTTCTCTTTTCTCTGCAACCTCGCCAGCATCTCTCATTTTTTGACTTTTTAATAGTAGCCATTGTGACTGGTGTGAGATGATATTTCATTGTGGTTTTGATTTGCATTTCTCTAATGATCAGTGATATTGAGCTTTTTTTCATGTGTTTGTTGGTCACATGTATGTCTTCTTTTAAAAACTGTTCAAGTCCTTTGCCCACTTTTTGATGGGGTTGTTTTTCTCTTGTATATTTGTTTAAGTCTCTTATAGATTCTTGATATTAGACTTTTGTCAGATGCATAGATTGCAAATATTTTCTCTGATTATGTAGATTGTCTCTTTACTGTGTTCATAGTTTCTTTTGCTGTGCAGAAACTCTTAAGTTAAACTAGATCCCACTTACCAATTTTTGTTTTTGTTGTGATTACTTTTGGTGTCTTTGTCATGAAGTCTTTGCCCGTTCCTAGGTCCAGGATGGTATTGGCTAGGTTGTCTTCCAGGGTGTTTATGGTTTTGGGTTTTATATTTAAGTCTTTAATCTGTCTTGAGTTAATTTTTGTATATAGTATAAGGAAGGGGCCCAGCTTCAGTCTTCTGCATACGACTAGCCAGTTATCCCAGCACCATTCTTTGAATTGGGAATCTTTTATCCATTGCTTGTTTTTGTCAGCTTTGTTGAAGATCAGGTGGTCATAGGTGTGTGGTCTTATTTTTGGGCTCTCTACTCTGTTCCCTGAGTTGTTTTTTACAAACCCAGAACTCCACCAAGTGGATCCCCTGGCATGTAGACCTCAGGTGAAGGGAGAACTAAAGACTGGTCTATGACCACTTTTCTTTGTTTTAAAGTTCTTCCTGAGGGGCCTGGAGAAAGTCATATCCACTAGCCAGAGCTAATATTCTTTTCTGTTGACACTTAATTTTTAAACAACCCTTTTTTTCCTTAACCAATTGAGAATCAAAAAGTCTTTGAGTCTTCCTATGATCTGTAACTCCCTGCTTCAAGAGATCCTGCCCATTTATACCAAAATCAATGTATAATCTCCATGCAAATTTATTCATAATTTGCCTGTAACTTCTGCTTTCCTAAAATTTACCCCTGCTTTTAAAAGCCCTCACCTATAAGCCATCAGAGAAGTTGGGATTTAAGCATTAACAGCCCGATTCTCTTTGCTTGGCACCCTGAAAATAAATCCTTACTACTGCTGCAAACCTTGATATAGATATCTGGTCTTACCGCACCAGGCAAGTGCACCCCAGTTCTGTTCCATAACAATAATACTTGCTTTAAGCTTGTTGAAAAGATTTAAAGAATAGACTTCTAAAAATTTATTTATATATATATATATATACACACACACACACACATATATACGTATATATACGTATATATATATGAGAGATATTCTTTCCATTTAGATATCAGGTAAAACTCTAGTCATTTCTCATGACAGATGCAAGTGTACCTGACAAGACTGTCAATTCATGAACTACCTTCATTACTGTATTTATTTTTCTTTTCCTCTTTGGTGCTACATTTGTCCCTTTGGTTCCAATTCAGGAAAAATCATAACAGTCATGCAGTACTCAACAGGAATATATTGATGTAGATTTGCTTCATATTGCATTACTCTCAGGAAATAGAAATGATCATTTTAGGTGAATTTCAGGCAACTTCTTGTGGGGAGAGAAAATGTAAGGACTATAAATGTAACATAGTAGATGTGTTTGAGTGAGTAGCTAGGCAGACATGAGCAGGGCAGGAGAATGCCGCCCAGGAATGTCAGGTGACCAGCAGATGATGTTCATGAGATTGCTAAACTGTGTCTCCAAAATAATAATTGGCTGCAGCTGGGACTAGGGAAAGGCAGTCTTCCAATAGATAGAAAACACCTGAAGCTGGTGATAAGCAGCTTTCCAATAAGATCTCAGGAGTTGGGCAAGTGGGCTTAAGCATGTACACTAAGAGGCAAAATGCAGAGTTTAACTGGTATAGGACCTTCCTCTAGGAAAACTCGACTAGTAAGGGAACACCTCAAGTGAGCATGCAAACAACTTCAGTAAACACACTGTACATGCAGCCTCTTCTAAGTGCTAGCAGGCCACTGCACATGTGGACAGCCCAACCCAGGGGAAAAATCAAGGGATGAAAAAGGGAAACCCTGGAACCATGCCAGTATATAAAACATCAAGTCGAGGGCTAAATTATGCACTTGAATCTTTCAAGTCATTGGCTTGG
Organism: Homo sapiens; assembly: GCF_000001405.40. Taxonomy (NCBI): domain Eukaryota; kingdom Metazoa; phylum Chordata; class Mammalia; order Primates; family Hominidae; genus Homo; species Homo sapiens. Next base: position 86,536,427 of record NC_000007.14, on the reverse strand, counting down.
ACCTCTTCCAAGTGTACCTTCTTTCGTTCCTGCACTAAAACATTTGGATAAACTTTCACTCCTGCTCTAAAACTTGCTTCAGTTTCTCCTCTACCTTATGCCCCTTGGCTGAATTCTTTCCTTCTAGGAGGCCAGAATCAAGTTTGCTGCAGACCCATATGGATTCACCACTGCTAACAGATGGGGATTTAAAGACAGCTGAAAAGAATATGTTTAGGAATTTTTGAGGTGGTTTATTAATGTAGACTGTCTAGTTATACACATTTCATTCTTTGTTGTATAAACAACTTCAGTTTATTTCTTTAATAATATCTAACAGTTGAGAAAAAGGAAGAAAAATATACTAGGCCTCTTAAATTATCTTAGTATATTCTTTCAACAACATTTAAATAAATATGTTTTATCAATATGTAAACTGAAAGCCAGGAAAAAAAAATGAGTTGCTTAATAAGTGGAAGAACTTGGGTTGCTTCTCAATCTGGCTGACTAGAAGCAACTAGTGTGTGCTGATTTCACAGGGAGAAAAAGTGTGAGTAAATACTAGATCATCTGAAACATCCAGGTGGACACATTGGGATTAATCAAGGAAACAACTCCACCCACAGAGAATGGAGGTAAGCAGGACAGGAAGCCCTCCCATCCAGGAGGGACATTGGGCCAGAGATGGCTTCCCTACCATGTAGAAATAGTGAGTGAGAGACCCCAGGGACCCATACTCCTTTTTTGCCTCCCAGGTTCACGTCATTCTCCTGCCTCAGCCTCCCAAGTAGCTGGGACTACAGGCGCCTGCCACCATGCCTGGCTAATTTTTTGTATTTTTAGTAGAGACGGGGTTTCACCTTTTTAGCCAGGATGATCTCGATCTCCTGACCTTGTGATCCTCACACCTCGGCCTCCCAAAGTGCTGGGATTACAGGCATGAGCCACTGCTTCCGGCCAGGACGCATACTTCTTCCGTGGACTTTTGCAATCCTGGGCTCAGAAGATCCCCTCATGAGTTCATCCCACCAAGGCCTTCAGATTGTCACACAGAGTTACATGGAGCTTTGGAAGAGCTATTACTCAGGCACACATGGAGTCCCAGAAGCCTTGGATCTTCAGGCATTTGGCACTAGTGGCTGCAGCTCTGGCAATGGGGTGGTAGGTCAGACTCCCTCATGTGCCCCCAGGAAAGGGACTGAATCCACGGACTGAATGGTGATGGACTGCAGGCCTCACCTCTACTGCAGCTTGGAGGATAAGACTCACTGGTCTAGGACTCCAGCCACCTCCCTCTTGGGCTCTCAGGTAGGTAGGAGGTCTGTACTTTCTTGGGATTGGGTTCTCACAGGGACAGACAAGCCACAATTTTGGCTGTCTCACAGCCCTCCTTGCTACTGCCTTCAGGTTCCAGAGGGTGCACAGTGACTAGGGACATGCAAGGATACACAGCACAACACAGCTGCCCCGCGGAAAAGTAGCCAGACTGTTTTTTACATGGGTCCCCAGTCCCGCTTCTTTTCACTGGGTGGGCACTCCCGACCTGGGACTCCAGCCACAGCTCACTGGGGCTGTCAGGCCAGTAGCAACTCTGCACTTCCCTGGGATGGAGCTTCCACAGGGAGGGGCAAGCCGCCACTTTGGGTTTGTTGCAGCCTTTGCCAATTTTGCCTTTGGGCTCTCAAGGGTGTGGGATGACTAGGGACAGGTGCAGATTCCCAGCACAACACAGCTGCCCTGTGAAAAAGGAAAAAAGGGTGGTCAAACCACTTTCCACACATGTCCCCAATTCTGGTTCTCCTTGCTGGGCAGGGCCTCCTGACCCAGCACAACTACCCTGTCCCCACCTGAACACTTCAGTTGAAGGTAGCTATGCAGTTCTTTGAGGAGGAAGTCCCAGATACAACCCACAATCCCTCCACCATTGCAGCTGAGGTGGTATGAGCCTAACCACCCTCAGGCTAGGGAAGGAACAAAGGGCCTAGTTGCTATGCTGGCACCTCCAGCACACCGCAACCACCATATGGAGAACAATCCAGTCTCTCTTCCCTGTAAGACCCCACTCCCCACTCTTGAACAGGCAAGTCCTCCAGCTCAGGACCACAGATCAGCTATTCCACTCATGGTTGAGCACACCCACTAGCAGGGACTCTGAGTTTCCATGGGGAGAGGCTCCCAGAGGCAACCAACAGCCCCTCTGCCACTGCCACAGCAGTGGTTCTGCTCCTGCTGCCCTCAGTCTGGGAAAGAAACGAAGAGATGGAGGGCTTCACCTTCACTTCCAGCACACCACAGTCAGCATACAGAGAGGGACCCAGTCTCTCCTTCCTGTGAGACCTTCACCTTCCACTCCTCAACAAGTGGAGCTCCCAGCTCAGGCCAGCAGTACAGCCAACCCACCCACCTGGCTGAAAACTCCAGTAGCGGCAGCTCTGTATTTCTCTGAGACGGAGCTCCCATAGGCAACCAAAAGCCCCTCTCCCACTGCCCCTGCAGTGGTACTGCTTTCACTGCCCTGGATTGGGGAAGAAACAAAGACTCTGAGTCCTTTAACCACACCTTCAACAAGCTGCAGTTGCCCTAAGAAGAAGTTGTGTGAAGTCCCAAGGCCAGTGTTTCTCTCATGAGACCCACAGAGCACTTGCTCATTACGACAGGATCCACCAGCTTGGGTCCACAGGGCAGCTGCACTACCCCAGGCCAATCATTACTGATTGATAGTGGTTCTGGGGTAGAGCCCCAAGAGACAGGTGAAAAAGGCCTGATCCAGCCATCCCATTACTGGGTATATACCAAAAGGATTATAAATCATGCTGCTATAAAGACACATGCACATGTATGTTTATTGCAGCACTATTCGCAATAGCAAAGACTTGGAACCAAGCCAAATGTCCATAGACTGGATTAAGAAAATGTGGCACATATACACCATGGAATACTATGCAGCCATAAAAAAGGATGCATTCATGTCCTTTGTAGGGACATGGATGAAGCTGGAAACCATCATTCTCAGCAAACTATTGCAAGGACAAAAAACCAAACACCACATGTTCTCACTCATAGGTGGGAATTGAACAATGAGAACACTTGGACACAGGGCAGGGAACATCACACACCAGGGCCTGTCATGGGGTGGGGGGAGCGGGGAGGGATAGCATTTGGAGATATACCTAATGGAAATGACGAGTTAATGGCTGCAGCACACCAACATGGCACATGTATACATATGTAACAAACCTGTGCATTGTGCACATGTACCGTAGAACTTAAAGTAAAATTTAAAAAAAAAAAAGGCCTTCTGCAACCATCACTGCTAAGGTTGCTTCTTCTGCTGTCTCCAAGGTGGGGAGGGAACATAAAGCCTGAGGTTGCCCCAGAGATGCAGTGTGCAGCCTGAGAGTGCCAAGCTGAGATCTGCAGCCAGCACTTTCAGAGCACTGAGAGGGGGCATGGCTGCAACTGTGAGGAAATACAGAGGAGTCAGGTGGCTGAGCAAGAGCCTACCTACTGGCCATTTCACTTAACTGTCACCTTCTGGGTCACAGGCAAAAATTTCAGTAAAAATATTAATACTTTGCTAATATACCCCCTGTGAAACAAAGGACAATAATTTAACTACAAATAAAGACCCTTCACAAAGCCTTGGCCCTCTGAAAACATCCAGAAAAGGAGTCTACTGATTATACTCAAATTACACCTCAGTGAAAGGAACAACAACCTACACAGATGAGAAAGAACCAGTGCAAGAACTCTAGCAACTCAAAAAGCCAGAGTGGCCTCTTTCCTCCAAGCATTCACAGTAGTTTTCCAACAAATATTCTCAACTGGCTTGAAATGGTTGAAATGACAGAAATAAAATTTAGAATATGGATAGAAACAAAATCACTGAGATTCAAGAGAAAGTTGATACCAAATCTGAGGAATCTAAGGATCACAATAAAATGATACAGGAGCTAATAGATGAAATAACTATTATTAAAAAAACAAATTGATCTGATAGAGCTGAGAAACACATTATAATAATTTCATAATGCAATTGCAAATACTAATGGCAGAATAGACCAAGCCAAGGAAAGAATTTCAGAACACAAATCCTGGCTTTCTGAAATAAGTCAGTCAGACAAAAAGAAAAATTAATAAACAAGAATAAACAAAACCTCTGAGAAATATGGAATTATGTAAGGAGACCAAAGCTATGACTCATTGGTGTCCCTGAAAGAGATGGGGAGAAAGCAAGCAACTTGGATAACATTCCATGAAGACTTCCTCAACCTTTCTAGAGAAGCCAATATTAAAATTCAGGAAATTCAGAGAATTCCTGTAAGATACTACACAAGAAGACCATCCCCAAGACATGTAGTCATCAGGTTCTCCAAGGTTGAAATGAAAGAAAAAATGTTAAAGGGAGCTAGAGGAAAGAGACAGGTCACCTACAAAGGGAACCCCATCAGGCTAACAACAGGCCTTTCAGCAGAAACCCTAAAAGTCAGAAGAGATTGGGGGCCTATATTCAGCATTTTTAAAGAAAAGAATTCCAACCAAGAATTTCTTATTCAGCCAAACTAAGCTTCATAAGCAAAGTAGAAATAAGATCCTTTTAGGCAAGCAAATGCTGAGAGAATTGGTTGCTACAAGACCTGCCTTACAAGAGGTGCTAAAAGGAGTGCTAACTATGGAAAGGAAAGACCACTACCAGCCCCTGCAACACATACTTGAGTACACAGATGAGTGACACTATAAAACAACCACACCAGTCTGCATAATAAAGAGCTAATAACAAGATGACAGGATCAAAATTACACACATCAATACTAACCTTGAATGTAAATGGGCTAAATGCCCCAATTAAAAGGCACAGAGTGGCAAGCTGGATAAAGAAGCAAGACCCATTGGTATGCTGTCTTTAAGAGACCCATTTCACATGCAATGACATCCATAGGCTGAAAATAAAGAGTTGGATAAAAATCTACCAAGCAAATGGAAAACAGAATAAGCAGGGGTTGCTATTCTAATTTCAGACAAAACAGATTTTAAGCCAATAAAAATTTAAAAAGACCAAGAAGGGCACTACATAATGGTAAATGGTACAATTCAACAAGAAGACCTAACTATCCTAAGTATATATGCATCAACACAGGAGCACCCAAATTCATAAAGCAGTTCTTAGAAACCTACAAATAGACTTAGTTTCACACACAGTAGCAGTGGGAGTCTTCAACATCCCATTGATATTAGATAATCAAGGCAGGAAATTAACAAAGATATTCAGGTCTTGAACTCAACACTTGAACAAAGAGACCTAGCAGACATCTGCAGAACTCTCCACCCCAAAACAACGGAATATACATTCTTCTTATCTGAACATAGTACATTATCTAAAATTAACCACATGGTTGGACATAAAGCAATCCTCAGAATATTCAAAAAAAACCAAAATTGTACCAAACACACTCTCAGATGACAGCTAAATAAAAATAGAAATCAAAGCTAAGAAAATCACTCAAAATCATAAAATTACATGAAAATTAAACAAACTACTCTTGAATTATTTTTGGGTAAGTAATGAAATTAAGGCAGAAACCAATTAGTTCTTCGAAATTAGTGAGAACAAAGATACAACATACCAGAATCTCTGGGACACAGCTAAGGCAGTATTAAGAGGGAATTTTAGAGCACTACACACCCATATCGAAAAGTTAGAAAGATCTCAAATGAATAAGATAATATCACAACTACAGGAACTAAAGAAGCAAGAGCAAACCAACCTGAATGCTAGCAGAAGACAAGAAATAACTAAAATCCGAGCTGAACTAAAGGAAATTAAAACCAAAAAATACAAAAGATCAATTAGTCCACAAGTTTGTTATTCACAAAAATTAATTTTTAATAAGTCTAATTTTTAAGTCTTCCCAAGTCTGGACCAAAAATTAATTGAATCCCTGAATGAATAATGAATTCTGTAATTGAATCAGTAATAAAAAGCCTACTAACCAAAAAAAGCCCAGGACGAGACAGACTTACAGCCAAATTCTACCAGATGTATAAAAGCTGGCACCATTCTTACTGATACTATCCCAAAAAATTTAGGAGAAGGGACTCCTCCCCAATGTATTCTATAAGGCCAGTATCATCCTGTTACCAAAACCTAGCAGAGATGCAACAACAACCAAATACTTTTTGGCTAATGTCCTTGATGAATACAGATGCAAAAATCCTCAAAAAAATACTAGTAAACCATATCCAGTAGCACACCAAAAAGCTTATCTATCACAATCAAGTAGGCTTTATCCCTGGTATGCAAGTTTTGTTTAACGTACACAAATTGTGAATGTGATTCACCACATAAACAGATTTAAAAATGAAAACCACATGATTATCTCAATAGATGCAGAAAAAGTTTTTGATAAAATTCCACATCACCTCATGTTAAAAAACCCTCAGTAAAGAAGGAACATACTTGAAAATAATGAAAGCCATCTATGACACACAGCCAACATCATACTGAATAGGCAAAAGCTGAAAACAATTCCCCTGAAAACCAGAATAAGACAGGGATGTCCTTCCTCACCATTCCCATTGTACATAGTATTGGAAGTGCTGGCAAGAGCGGTCATGCAAGAGAAAGAAATAAAAGGCATCCATATAGGAAGAGAGGAAGTCAAGCTATACTTGTTTGCAGATGACATGATTCTATATCTACAAAACCCCATGCCCTCTGCTCAAAAGCCTCTTGATCTGATAAACAACTTCAGCAAATTTTCAGTATATAAAATCAATATACAAAAATGAATTGCAGTCCTATACACCAACAACTCCATCCAAGCTGAGAGTAATATCAGGAATACAGTGCCATTCACAATTTCCATAAAAGGAATAAAATACCTAGGAATAAAGCTAACCAGGGAGGATAGAGATCTCTACAATCAAAGTTACAAAACACTGCTCAGGGAAGTCAGAGATAACACAAACAAATGGAAAAACATTCCATGCTCCTAGATCTGAAGAATCAATGTTATTAAAATGGTCATACTGCCCAAAACAATTTATAGATTCAATACTATTCCCATGAAACTACCAGTGATATTCTTCATAGAATTAGAAAACACAATTTAAAATTCATATGGCACCAAAAGAGAGCTCATATAGTCAAGGCAATCCTAAACAAAAACAACAAAGCTGAAGGCATCACATTACCCAGCTTTACACTATACTGCAGGGATACAGTAATCAAAACAGCATTGTACTGGTACAAAAACAGACATGTAAACCAATGAAACAGAATAACAGCCAAGGAGTAAGGCTGCACATCTTACTGGTTACAGATAACCATGTGATCATCAACAAAGCTGACAAAAACAAGGAATGGGGATAGGACTCCCTATTCAATAAATAGTTCTGGGATAACTGGCTAGCCATATGCAGAAGACTGAAACAGGACCCCTTCCTTATACCATACACAAAAATCAACTCAAAATGTATTAAAGCCTTAAATGTAAAACCTAAACTATGAAAACCCTGGAGGCTAACTTAGGCAATACCATTCTGGACATAGGATATGGCAAAGATTTCATGATGAAAATGCCAAAAGCAATTGTGACAAAAGCAAAAATTGACGAGTGGGACAGAATTAAACTTCTGTACTGCAAAAGAAACTATTAACAGAATAAACAGACACCCTCCAGTATGGGAGAAAATATTTTCAAACTGTCCATCTGACAAGGATCTAATAGCCATAATCCATAAGGCGCTTAAAGCAACAAGGAAAAAACAAACAACTCCATTAAAAAGTGGACAAAGCATATAAACAGACACTTCTAAAAAAAAAAAAGGCATACATGTGGCCAAGAAGCATATGAAAAAGTGCTCAACATCACTAATCATTATAGAAATGCAAATGAAAACCACAGTGACATACCATCTTACACCAATCAGAATGGCTATTGTTAAAAAGTCAAAGAATAACAAACGGTGAGGAGGTTTTGGATAAAAGATAATGCTTACACACTCTTGGTGGAACTGTGGGTTAGTTCAGCTATTGTGGAAAGCAGTGTAACAATTCCTCAAAGAACTTGAACCAGAACTACCATTTGACCCAACAATCCCACTATTGCATATTTACCCAAAAGAATATAAACTGCTTTACCATAAAGATACTTGCATGCATATATTGATCACAGCACTGTTCACAATAGCAAAGACATGGAATCAACCTAAATGCTCATTAATGGTAGACTGGATAAAGTCATGTGGTACATATACATCGTGTTGTACTATGTAGCCATAAAAAAGAACAAGATTATGTCTTTTGCAACAACATGGATGGAGCCAGAGGTCATTATTCTAAGCAAACTAATATAGAAATAGAAATCTAAATACCACATTATTCCCTTGATTACTGCAATAGTTTATTGTTAGTAATCCCTGTGTCTGCATTCTATTTTCAAGATAATAACTTGAAAATTTAAAATGGATCATGTCAATCTTCTTTATTCAGTCTCATTGTTTCATAGTAAAAGCCACATTTCTTACAAGGGCCTTTAAGTCACTACAGGATTGGATTAACTTCTTCTAATATTCTTGTTTATCTTCTTATATATTTTGCTCCAGCCTTAGAGACCTTCTTTGTCTCCTTGGAGCATGTTGGTTTAAGGCTTGCTGTAGGACCACTATACTGGCTGTTACCTCTAGTTGGCATGTTCTTTCCCCAGATTTCTGTAGAAATAATTACTTTACCTTCTTTAAGATTTACCTTAATGTCTCTTTCAACCAGGTCTATCCTGACTACTGTATTTAAAATCATCTGTACTCTGAATCTCCATTATCCTTTGGTTTTTCTTCTTTCCATAGTACACATTAATTTCTAATATACTATTTAACTTAACTTTTCACTATCTCATTATTTTTCTGTCTGTACTCCTTATTATAGAATGTAAACTTCAAAGGAAATAAATCCTTGTTTCAATGACTGGCCTCTCTATTATCCAGGAAAGGTTTAGGACACAGTACATTCTCAAGTAACATTTATTGAATACATGTATAGGTGCTATTACAGAGGGAGTTGTTGGAGTGGGGAGTAGCTGGATATTAAAGTGTAGGATAGAGGCTGGAAGAAGGGCAGATTGGAAAGATCTAGCTTTAAATCCTGAAATGGGTGACATAGTTCCAAATCATATGTATGTACTTTAGATTGGAAGGGATGTGACTTTAACTGCTGAAATACATAGGTCCTCATAGGCCCATGAAATTATAGTGGTCTGGAAGAATGTCCTCTTTGTCAGATGATCAGTTAAATATTTGTTCTAAATGAAGTAATAAATTATTCCTGGCCTATGTTGGACCAGCAGAAGGATGGAGGGAAATCCTAAAAAATCTTTTGTTTATCTTGGATTATGGCTGACAGCATACGTTATTTTCTAGTGACTTTACTATTAAAAACAGGCAAGCAAGCAAGCAAGCTTTCTTTATGAGACCTGGGAAGGTGTATTCTGTCATTTTAGTACTCTTAAGTAATAAGGTTGTAGGAACACAGGCAACTCAACTCTGACAACCCAATAGATATTGTGAGAAGAAAAACACATACAAATAAAAGCAGTTTATTCTTCACTATCACAAGATGCCATTTCAGAGAATCATCTGGGATCAAGAGGTCGAGAATGTGTTCCTGGAGGCAAATTGTATTCCTTTATATTCCTGGGCAATAGTTAGTCAACTAAGCAGAACTATCAGTTAGAGAATCAATCAGGAGAAGAAAAGCTGATGTTTCATTTTCTCATTCAAAATATGCCCTTTTTGAAAATAAATGTGTGGTGAAAATATATTAAATTGAATTGGCTCTAAAATGTTCATCTTAAAACATGGGTCTAAAACCAGCTATAAATATTTTTTAATGTTGTTGAGGTTGTTACTAAACTCATCTTCAACAATGAAAAAATTGTAAAGACTCTTTTTTTCATTATTATTATACTTTAAGTTTTAGGGTACATGTGGACAACATGCAGGTTTGTTACATATGTATACATGTGCCATGTTGGTGTGCTGCACCCATTAATTCATCATTTAGCATTAGGTATATCTCCTAATGCTATCTCTGCCCTCTCCCCCCACCCCACAACAGTCCCCAGAGTGTGATGTTCCCCTTCCTGTGTCCATGTGTTCTCATTGTTCAATTCCCACCTATGAGTGAGAACATGTGGTGTTTGGTTTTTTGTCCTTGTGATAGTTTGCTGAGAATGATGGTTTCCAGTTTCATCCACGTCCCTACAAAGGACATGAACTCTTCATTTTTTAAGGCTGCATAGTATTCCATGGTGTATATGTGCCACATTTTCTTAAGCCAGTCTATCATTGTTGGACATTTGGGTTGGTTCCAAGTCTTTGCTATTGTGAATAGTGCCACAATAAACATATGTGTGCATGTGTCTTTATAGCAGCATGATTTATAATCCTTTGGGTATATACCCAGTAATGGGATGGCTGGATCAAATGGTATTTCTAGTTCTAGATCCCTGAGGAATCGCCACACTGACTTCCACAATGGTTGAACTAGTTTACAGTCCCACCAACAGTGTAAAAGTGATCCTATTTCTCCACATCCTCTCCAGCACCTGTTGTTTCCTGACTTTTTAATGATTGCCATTCTAACTGGTGGGAGATGGTATCTCATTGTGGTTTTTTTTTTTTTTTGAGACGGAGTCTCGCTCTGTCGCCCAGGCTGGAGTGCAGTGGCGGGATCTCGGCTCACTGCAAGCTCCGCCTCCCGGGTTCACGCCATTCTCCTGCCTCAGCCTCCCAAGTAGCTGGGACTACAGGCGCCCGCCACTACGCCCGGCTAATTTTTTTGTATTTTTAGTAGAGACGGGGTTTCACCGTTTTAGCCGGGATGGTCTCAATCTCTTGACCTCGTGATCTGCCCGCCTCGGCCTCCCAAAGTGCTGGGATTACAGGCGTGAGCCACCGCGCCCGGCCCTCATTGTGGTTTTGATTTGCATTTCTCTGATGGCCAGTGATGATGAGCATTTTTTCATGTGTTTTTTGGCTGCATAAATGTCTTCTTTTGAGAAGTGTCTGTTCGTATGCTTTGCCCACTTTTTGATGGGGTGGTTTGTTTTTTTCTTGTAAATTTGTTTGAGTTCATTGTAGACTCTGGATATTAGCCCTTTGTCAGATGAATAGGTTGCAAAAATTTTCTCCCATTTTGTAGGTTGCCTGTTCACTCTGATGGTAGTTTCTTTTGCTGTGCAGAAGCTCTTTAGTTTAATTAGATCCTATTTGTCAATTTTGGCTTTTGTTGCCATTGCTTTTGGTGTTTTAGACTTGAAGTCCTTGCCCATGCCTATGTCCTGAATGGTATTGCCTAGGTGTTCTTCTAGGGTTTTTATGGTTTTAGGTCTAACATTTAAGTCTTTAATCCATCTTGAATTAATTTTTGTATAGGGTGTAAGGAAGGGATCCAATTTCAGCTTTCTACTTATGGCCAGCCAGTTTTCCCAGCACCATTTATTAAATAGGGAATCCTTTCCCCATTGCTTGTTTTTGTCAGGTTTGTCAAAGATCAGATGGTTGTAGATATGTGGCATTATTTCTGAGGGCTCTGTTCTGTTCCATTGGTTTTTATGTCTGTTTTGGTACCAGTACCATGCTGTTTTGGTTACTGTAGCCTTGTAGTATAGTTTGAAGTCAGGTAGCATGATGCCACTAGCTTTGATCTTTTGGCTTAGGATTGACTTGGCGATGCAGGCTCTTTTTTGGCTCCATATGAACTTTAAAGTAGTTTTTTCCAATTCTGTGAAGAAAGTCATTGGTAGCTTGATGGGGATGGCGTTGAATCTATAAATTACCTTAGGCAGTATGGCCATTTTTACGATATTGATTCTTCCTACCCATGAGCATGGAATGTTCTTCCATTTGTTTGTATCCTCTTTTATTTCATTGAGTAGTGGTTTGTAGTTCTCCTTGAGGTCCTTCACATCCCTTGTAAGTTGGATTCCTAGGTATTTTATTCTCTTTGTAGCAGTTGTGAATGGGAGTTCACTCATGATTTGGCTCTCTGTTTGTCTGTTATTGGTGTATAGGAATGCTTGTGATTTTTGCACATTGATTTTGTATCCTGAGACTTTGCTGAAGTTGCTTATCAGCTTAAGGAGATTTTGGGCTGAGATGATGTGTATCTAGTAAAGACTCTTTATACTTAAAATACCCTCAGAAATATTTAGTGCAATATTGCATTTTCCGTTACCTTTTTACATATAACTTACAAAGCTGAGAAAACAGTGATCTCCTTCACAATGTACAGCAGCATTTGAGTACTTACTATTCTAATAATTTGCATTTAAATTTGCATATATTAGTAGGAACCAATGTTTGAACTTAGAAATGGAAAATATTTTCTCCTTTATCTTAACCTCTGATTTTCCCCAATTTAAGACAATTCTCAAGTGAATTATTCCCATTATTTCTAATTTTAAAGAATTTTGAAGATGTGCATTTATACATTTCTGTATCTCTCAACCTGTCTTAATTGGCCATAGACAATTGGCTATTGACTTTCCAATTTTCAGATCTTGAAACTCTGTGTGAATGTGTTTTTAAAACTGATCTTAAAATTATCTGAGAAGTGGTTGGGTTTATAGGAATTTTCTCCTATTTTACAGCAGGTAAGTATATTTCTCATGTATCCTACGTCCTGATAATTGACACTGCTCCAAGGCCTCAAAATCTGAAAACATCAAACTATGGAAATAGTTTTAAAAACCTATCGTTCCCTCTGATATATATTTCTGTTAAGTATAAAACACTGCTTTAAAAATAAGGTATTAGCACATTAGACTATATCTGAATTAAGTTACGGGGTAGAGTGGGGTGATAAAAGTAATAGAAAGTTTCAATCAGCAATTTTGTCTCTTTAATCCCTTGACTATTTTAAAAAATATCTGGCTTTGGAGCAAAGCAAATAGAATAATGATAAGAATGCTAAAAATGACACTTTACATAAAATTAAATATAATGAATACTTGCCTATTCTTAATATTAATTGCTAAAAAATGTTATGGACTAGTGATGCTGCCTCATTCAAATGTAATTAGAGTGATTTTGGAATACTGAAATTTTTGACAGCACATTCAACACAATACATAGAAAAAATTTTGTGTAATTTCTTGTGAAGTCAGTGTGTGCTACAAGGTGGCCAAGATATATTTTAATAATTGTACGATAAGATATCAATACAAATGTATCAATCATCTTCAGTTACCTCAGAAAATATTTAATATTTTCTAGTTTTTATTAGTGAAACTTAGAATTTATGCTAACTACCAGACTGCTTCGTTTTTAGTTACCCATATCTTTGTCTTTCATTAAATATAAAAGTACTATTTGTTCATGATGTGTGAAAAAAATTAATGGAGTTATTTTTGATTTTTATTCTCAGGTTTTATTGAAGTAATCTCCAAAGGCAACTAATAGAGTTCTATATACACATGCACATTTACTAAAGAGATACCATATCTTTTTATCATACTCCTCACCTTCTAAATAATTTAATATACTTAAATATTACATTAATTTATTTAAAAATTAATAAAAATGACACATTTATTAATCTTCTCATATTTATAAATTATACAAACAGATGATTTAATTATATTAGATCCTCATAATTTTAATTTTGACCTGTATTTCTTTATCTTCTAAGGTATATTCTATGATATATGTCTTAGTAGATTATATAATATGATGTCTTTGGATGCACCTGTCTCTCCAGATTTCAAGGTGGTGGTTTGCTTTGTGACCTTGTTCTCTGATGTGTGTAAGAGAAGTCATTGATTTTTAATTTGCTCCATTTTTCTGTTCTGGTTTGGTGTCAGTGGATTAATTTTCTCCTCATTATAAGGCATATTGTTTATCTGCAAGCCTCGTAATTTTTACTTGAGGCCAGACATTATGAATTGTATTCATTTGTTAGCCAGATATTTTCTCAGTCCTATAAACATGTTTTGTCCTGGAGTTCAGCTAGGAAATACTTCGATCCTTTGGAAATACAAAGGAAATTATTTGGAAATAGTTTTATCCTTTGGGGTCTTGCTTTTTAGTTTTTTTTTAGGCTTAACCACAGCAATGTTTATTCTAGATCTAATTATTACCACTACTGAAGCAAGATACTTTTGTGTATTCCCCTCCACGCTTATTGAATCTTGAGGTTTCTCAAACTGGCTGGTGGAAATAAACACTATTCCTGGATCTGTGTAAGTGTGTACTTCTTCTAGTCTTTCATGTGATTATTTGCCTGACTCATCTAGTTTTCTTACACACATGTGCTGATCAGTACTCAGCTGAATAGTCAAACCATAGGTACCCTTTGAAGGTCCCCATGGATCTCACTCTGTGCAGCATTCTCCTCTTTGGTACTCTTTCCTGAGCATTGTGACCACCTCAGTCTCCTAGGCCTTCTCTTGAAATCAGTGAGTCTGCTGAACTCTGCTTGGGTTTCCCTTCCTTGTGCGTGTCTTGGAAGCTCTTTCAAGGCAGTATGCTGGGGCAATCATAGGGCTAACTTCATTTGTTTCTCATCTCCAAGATATCCCTGTCCTTTATTCTCTTGTAGTCAGGGTCCTGAAAACCATTATTTCATGTGTTTTGTCCGGCAGTTAGCAGGAGGGTAATTCTGGTTCTTGTTACTCCACTTTGGCCAAAAGTGGAAGTTCACATATTCACATGGAGCAATTGAAATGTGTCTGGTGAAAATTCAGATGAGCTGTTTGTATAAAATAGATACCAGATTTCGAAGTGTTAGTACTAAAAATGATATAAAATATCTAATTAATATTTTTATAGCGGTTACATTTTGACATGATAATATTTTTGGATATGTTGGGTTAAGTAATAAATATTATTAAATTTCTTTCACATGTTCTGCTTTTTAAAATGTGACTGCTGGAAAATTTAAAATTATTTATGTATTCCCGTTGTATTTCTATTGCATCGTACTGATTTAGACATTCCACAGAACATTATTTTCATTCACTGTATTTGATAACATCATTTTGATGCTATCTGGGGATCAGGAAGCGGAAAGTTCTTTGGGTGTTGTGTTAAAATTCATGTGGTACAGGAAGTAAGATATATCATATTAAGATTTAGGGACCTGCTACAATGATGACTTGTAGGGTCATCATTGTAGCATGATGGGGTCCAGTGTTCTATGGCCTTGTAGTAGGCTCTTGAAAACAGAGGACATAGGTGGAAAATACCTGGCTCTGGTTTATGGATGAGTTAGCTCAGATATGGGCCTATCTGTAAGGAATACACTTGGTTTGGTTTTGGTTTGGAGAGAGAATTGGCATGAGATAAAAAATATATGTGGAATCCTTGGCTATGACAAATAGCTTGTCTAGTCAGTCATGAGATTAGAATGAAAAAGATTAGGAGATTTGAGAGAGATTGTTTATGAAAGATTGGCTTATGGGAATGAGTTCAAACTTTGAAGATTTTTGCATCCACAACAATGCCCATGACAGACATTCAAAATAGAGGTGGTACTGAACAATCAGCTATACATGATGATCTGTCTAGTCTTTGTCCTTGCATATACCAGTGACTGTGTTACAAGACCGTGAATTGAATGATTATGATTGCAGGGTGGACATTTTTCCTAGGCCCTAAAGCATCAGTCTCCTGTCACAAGGTTCGCTTAGCCTATTTCTGTAGCTGAATGCTTGATCTGTCAGCAGCAGAGACCAGTAGTGAGTTGAGGACACCAGTCAGCCTTCTGTGGTATTGAGACTTCGCCTACGTTAGAGGGAGCAGATATTTGTCGTTTGTGTGATTGACATGTTTTCTGGTATAAGTTTAGTTTGCTTGCCTTCAGTGCCTCAATCAGCACCACTGTCTGAGGCCTCAGATATGCAGAATGCTTTAACATTTTGAGTCCCCACATGACATTGCTTCAGATTAAGTGGCCCACTTTGCAATAAAGGTCTAACAAGGAGCACGTGACCATTTCCACATTAACTAGGAGCTTCAGAACTGATAAAATATTGGAATGACCCCTGAAAGGTATACAGAAGTATCCAGTTTAGGTGTATATTTTGAAATAGCAGCCATATATAGTTCTGTGCCATTAACAGGTAAAATACACTGGTCCAGGTACCAAAGGGTAGAAGTAGGAATCTACATCAAGTAAGTGAATACCATAACAGAGAATCCACATATGTGAGTACTTTATCGGATCACTGTTCTAGTGACACCCTTGCAGAGTTTATGTTTCACATCCCTGAAAATTTCAGCTCAATATAACAAAAGTTTCCTAGGGAAGGATGCATTTGCCAGCAGACAAAATAAAGTTACAGTTTGCCCCCTTCCTGTAAATACAGGCAAAGAAACAAGGAAAAAGATCATTCTATAATGCCAATGGTTGCAATTCAAAATTAAGATAAAAAAAAATTGATGCATTTAAAATGTGGCATAAATATTCACAAAGTATCATCTATTGGAATACATTATTTATAAAACTGACTCCAGAAGAGATGGAAAATACAGACATTATCATAGGAAAAAAGTTTTAATTTTTATTAAAAAATGTTGAATCTGACTTCTCCCACTGGTCTGACAATAGAACTAATTTGGCCTCTTAGTTTATGTGGAAAATATTTTCCAAAAACTGAGTCA
The DNA here is from genome assembly GCF_000001405.40 of Homo sapiens. Taxonomy (NCBI): domain Eukaryota; kingdom Metazoa; phylum Chordata; class Mammalia; order Primates; family Hominidae; genus Homo; species Homo sapiens. The sequence continues at coordinate 86,519,786 of NC_000007.14, read as the reverse complement.
AATAATTTTATAGTTCCAAAGATTTGACAAAATCTTTAAATTATGTAAGATATAATGCTTTTATAAAATCTGTTATATTTGCAAAGAATTAATGAACTGCAGAATACTTTTATTTTCCTAATCCTTCCTTAGTGTGTCAGATTAAATTAGATACCTATAAAGGAGTACAGAGCAAGTATAATTAATAGTTATTTAATAGCGCTTATCCTCTTTCTGTATTTCAGAAATTGAGATAGCAGAGGAATCATGCCTGAACAAATAATTCATTCACTCCACAAATGAGGATTTCTGTCAGTCTTGGATGGTCTATGGAGAAACATCTAGTCAATTGGATGATAGGATGGATAATTCAAATGTAAATTTGTGACAGAAAGGGAACAAGCAAAGAGTCAAACACTTTTTTCCTTAGTCCTCTTTCTCCCAGGATTAGTAGTAAAAGCAAGTTATTTAGATTCATTTAAAAAATACTAAAGTTCAGTTTGAAATAGATTTAAACTGTTTTTAAAATAAAAATGTATGGATTTCAAACTTCTTTGATGGAAAATGTATAAACATATAAGACTTCAATACTTGTAATTCTCAGTGTTAAAAATTTTGATGCATATGGTGCAATTTAAAATAATCATAATTTACCAGAAAATTTTATGAGCAAATATGTAGGAAAGGCCATATTTGATTTAAGGAGATTATTTTTCAGTTCAGCTAAAGCTAATCTTACAAGGATAAATATTTCAGTTTTATAGATATGTCTTTAATATATGATTTTATAATTATTATCCTGTTTAAAACTACTCCTTTAAGCCACATGAATTTTAAGTTCATATCAATGAAGGGTAAACTACTTACTAATTATGCCATGATACAGTTGTTTTCTGGGATTTCTATGTATCACCCTTCTGAGGTTGAGTTATGAAAGAGATATTGAAATGAACATAGATAATAAAAGAAAAAATATAAACTAAGCAATCCTTTTAGTAGAGAATTAATAGAAAGTGGATGGTATTTTATGTTTAGTGTTGAAGGTAGGAACATTTATTCTCCACTCCCCATGTTTCTAAAGGAAAGAAGATGAAGTCCCCCCTTTTTTTTCTTCCTTAGGACAGGTGTGAATGAGAAAAACAGTTCCAGCCTCTTGCAGCTCCTTCTTCTACTGCATTCCAGAAAGGGGGAAGTAATATTTTTGGCTGATGAGTTAACAGAAGGAACTGAGATGCTGAGATCCATAGGCAGATGGATATAACATTAATACAATGATTACTAGAAGTGTGGCCACTACTAGTCAACTTTGCATTCATCTGCCTATTGAGAATGTACTATGGTCAGTACTCTGCCTTGAGATAAAATGCCTTTTTTTTGGAAACAGGTCTTGCTTTGTCACTCAGGCTGAGTGCAGTAGCATGATCACAGCTCACTGCAGCCTTGCCCCCCGGGGCTCAATGATCCTTCCACCACAGCCTCCCAAGTAGCTGGGACTATAGGCATGTGCCACCATGCCTGGCTAATTAGTATTTTATTTTTTGTAGAGACGAGGGTCTCACTATGTTACCTAGCTGGTCTCAAACTCCTGGATGCAAGTGATCTTCCTGCCTCAGCCTCCCAAAATGTGAGGATTACAGATGTGCGCCATGACACCCAGTCTTGGTTGCCTTACATTATGCTAGGCACTGGGAGTGTGAATGGAGGGTGAAGCATTAGTAAGCCTATTGTTTCCACTAAACATGCTTGCCATTTTCATCTCTGACACCTGTATTTCTTATTGTTTCTAAACTTGGAAAAGAAATAGCATTATTTATTGACTGTGAATCCTTCATTGTAGAACATGCTTCACTGTCCCACTGAGAATGTTGTTTTCTACAGGAAATAAGTGAATACTATAACTTGGGCTCCATGTTTGTGGGTAGTTTGCCAGATCACTGTTCTAATATGATTTGGGGTGTGATTTTATGTTTATTCTCTGTTGAGAGGGTTAACTGATTTCAGTGCATTTGGGGACCTTCAATCTGATCTAGTAAATCATTGTCTGATAAAAAGGGGTAAAATAGGAAAAAAAAAACCTCACTGCAAATGGAAAAATACTGCAATAATCTGACTCACTCATAATGGGCAGCAGTGTCATCTTCAGAATCAGGACAGTGCATTACTTTAGTATTTGTAGATCTACCTCAGGGCAGAAAAATGGATGCCCTGCTTTCTTAAGATTTCTCTTAGCCCTCGATTAAAGGAAGAATGATATTCACATTCATATCATATCTAAATAATTGACTGTGGGACCTTGAATTTTCTTGTTTCCACAGTTTCCAGCTGGGATATTAGGTCACAAAATAACAGATCTCATAACATTATTAAATATTAATTGTGCATGTTAAATTATCTAAAATACATATTTTAGTCTAATAGCTAATGTTTACTTGTAAATTAACTCATCATTTTTTATAGTTGTGATTTTAACATTTACCTTTCTCTGGTGCAGATTTCTTTTTCAAGCAACTTATAAATAAAGAGCTTGTTATACAGCATGGCTTTGAATCAAATAGTATGCAGTACATTGTAATTATTTTCCAGGCAAATGTACATTTCATAGGGTATGTTGGAAAATGTTAGAGTTAGTGATATGGCAGTTGTGAGTGTGAGGTTGACCTAACACAATAGTTAAGGCCATCCTTACAGAGTATCATAGTCATGGATGGATGAAGATATGCTGAAACTGGATTCAAGAATTTTGGCATGCATTAATTTCAATATTAATTAAAAGGAAAAAGACTCAATGCAAGTTTCTTATTTCATAGAATGATTATCTAAAGTATAATGTTTATAAGTATATTAGCTCTAGAATTTAGACATTTTTCAGTTATTTCTATAGCATTGGTGGGGTAGGGCTTCCTCATGGCTTATTTTAATAGGACTTAAATATCTTTAAAAAAACTCACTTCGAAGAAATAGACATGAAGCCCACAAACGTGATCTTAGCGTTGTATCTCAGAATTGTAGGAGAGGGATGGTGAAATGTACTGTACAATATATATCATTCAAATCAGTGTTAAAATTATTCCAACAAACTACAACCTGAACCCTCAGGAAAGGATATAGTAAACATATAAAAGCATACATTTCTGAAAGACAGGAATCCAAAGTTAATACTATTTTATAACTCTTGCTTAAAAGTTGAGTGTGTTGCTGATGAGAAAAGAGGGAGAAAATTGGGCAGATAATTCCCCTATTTGTGATCACTGGTAAAACCCAGAATGGATAATAATTACATGAGTATAAGGCTTAACCAGAATATATGAACATGATAAATAGTAGTAATTGTAGAAATAGTAGTAACATTTATGGTCGCTAACCCTTTTATGACACTTTCCATATACAGACTCAGCTCTAAGCTTTTTGGTAAAGCATATTTTTATGGACAAGCTTCAGAGCATCAAAAGGAAATAGTGTTTGCAGTCCTAAAATGACTGGAGCACTCAATGGCTTGGAGTCACTCTAGAGGCATTTAAAGCCTCAGCAGAAGATATAGATTAAGTCAATGGAAAATGGTGGAATCATGACATAGCTGAGTGAACTATGTGCATGAGAATATGTAAAATATTCCCTGAAAAAAAGTAGTTATTGGTAGTGACTCCGAAGAGAGGGGTCAGAGATAACTATCAGGGTGAGCGAACATTATTTACCTGTAGGTTTTCAAGGCTGAGAGATAAACATTATGTGAAGGAAAATGGTAGAAAAATCTTAAGAGCCAGAAACCAACACTCCATTTCACTTGCCTACAATGTCCATTTCTCTGTCCTTGATTTAGATGTGGAAATGTTACAACAGGGGTTGAGGATTTCATCTAGGTTGCTTTAGCTTTGTCATTTTCTAGCGCTCTATGTCTCTTAGTAAAATGATGATAATTGTTGTGATAAAGAAAAAAAGTAATTCACATTTATTTTTACTTACATTAAATATTCAATAACAGGTGTCAAATACCAATGCTGATAATTACCTTTTTGGAATCTCACACTGGTCAGCACTCTAGAAGCCATCTGCTATTTTTGAGATGTCTTCCAGAATATCCCAAAGTATTATTTCAATGTACTGTGTAGTTTATATTTAAGATAACACATTTGAAACTTAAACTCTAATTGGGAATAATCAGAACCACTATTTTCCAGTAATAGTTTAATGCATAAATAAATAGAAAAGAACTTAATTTATATATTAATTATACATAAAACATCATAAAATTAGATGACTTACAGAATTACACAGACTTTACGTAGTGAATTAAGCATTAGAAAACTGGATTTCTTGAAATACCTGAAGAGATGTCAGCAAGACAGTTGACTAGAGTTACTTGGTGATCATCCCTCCCACGCCAAGGAAAGAGATCCAAACAATGAATAAACAACTCCCTGTGCAGAATAGAATCCATGGATAGCACCATAGAGATGGAAGTGAGGCATTCTGCCTCTGCCACACTGTCTCCCCAGTGAGAATGAGTTCAGAGTCAGGGGTACTTCTCACGGGGGAAAACGTAAGCTGAAGTTCCTCAGTAGTACCTGTTGCTGCAACAAACACCAGCAATCCCTGCTACAAGAGAGTTACCCAAGTCCTCACAGGCTCCAAGCCAGTTTGTTGATTAGCTGGGAGTTCATGCAGCTGCACTGCCCCAGAGTAGGAGCTCACCTTGAGCACTTCCCCTTCCCATGACCTAAGAAGCTATGGCTTGGCACCATCCTGCAACTGGATTTATTACTAGAGTGCATCTAATCCTGAGGGATAGTAGCAACAGATTCTCTCAATCCGGAAGACCCATGATCAATTTACCACATTCACATTAGTGTCTGCAGCACTATAACCCCAGTCACCTGAAGTCTATGCCATACCAAACAATTGAAATCCCAATGTCCAAACCCATGCAGCAGCCCCCAACCCAGGAAATAGATAGATCTGCATAGCAGCAAAGCCACTAACCAGCTGGCCACCTGCCTTACCTGTGTGTACACATGCTGCACAGCCAAATGGCTGGTCTAGCCTACATGTGTCCATACCTGGCCTGATAGCTGGTCCTCCAGTACCTCCACTTCCCAGACAGACTGTCATAGGGCTGCCTCACCATACTGCAATCATGTATACCTAGCCCAACATCCAGTCTGGTGGCATTCCCACCTCCCTGGAGACAGCTACACAGCTTCCCAGCCAGCTGTGCCCATGCATGCCTGTGTGCACCTAAGCCTGGCCTGACAGCCAGCCCAACAGTGACCATTTGCCTCCCAGGAGAGTCCAGCAGACAGCCTGACAACCTTTGCCCCTGTACACACTTGGCCCAACAATCAGCCCAGTGCCCACAACCACAGCAAGACTGCGCCAATGCCATCTCAAGCTTCCATAGCCTAGGTCACTGAAACAATCACAGGTATTGCTAATGAGGATTACAGGTAAAGACACTGCATGGAGACTATGCTACTGAGTCCACCCAGAACCAAAGCTAATACACCATAGGTCCTGACACTCTGACAAACTGACATCCTAGGTCCTATCTACAGGAAAACTGTTAAAAGAGATAAAGAAGGTTATATAATAACAAATGATCAATTTAATAAGAGGATATAACAATTGTAAGTATATATGCACGCAACACTGGGGCATGCAGATATATAAAGCGAATATTATTAGACCTAAAGGGAGAGATAGAGTGCAATAAAATAACAGTAAGGAACTTTAACAGTAAGATCATATAGAAAAAAAAACAAATATTGAACTTAAACTGCACCATATACCAAATGTAATTAAAAGAAACTTACAGAACATTTTATCCAACAGCTGCAAAATACACATTCTTCTCAATTGCACATAAAACATTTTCCAGGACAGATCATATGTTAGCCCACAAAATAATTATTAACAAATTTAAGAAGAGAGATTATATCAAGTATCTTTCTTTACAATAATGGTATACAACTAGAAATTAGCAACAAGAAAAACTTTGAAAACTTTATAAATACATAAAAATTAAACAACATGCTCCTAAACAATCAATAGGTCAATGAAGAAATTAAAAAGCAAAGAAAAATTTTCTTGAGACAAATGAAAATGGGAATATATAATAACAAAACCTAAGGGACATGGCAAAAGCAGTTGTAAGAGGGAAGCTTATAACAATAAACGCCACATTAAAAAAAGAGAAAGATTTTGAATAAACAACATAATGATGCACTTTAAGGAACAAAAAATCCCATAACATATTAAAACTCAACATTGGTATAAGGAAATAATAAAGCTCAGAGCAGAAATAAATAAAATAAAGACTAAAAAAATTAAAAGTTTAATAAAACAGACTTGGCTTTTTGAAAAGATAAACAAAATGAACCTGTCTTTAGCTAGACTAGGAAGAAAAAAGACTCAAATAAATAAAGTCAGAGATGAAAAAAGAGACATTACAACTGATATCATAAAAATAAAATCATAAGAGCCTATTATGAACATCTGTAGGTCAACCAATTTGATAACATAGAAGAAATGAATAAATTCTTGAACACATGCAACCTACCAAGATAAATTATGAAGATAAGAAAATCCAAATAGACCAATAGTGAGGAAATTGAATCAGTAATAAAAAGTCTTCCATCAAAGAAAAGTTCAGAACCCAATGACTTCACTGCTGAGTTCTATCAAACATTTAAAGAAGGACTAATATTATCATCAAACTATTCTAGAAAATTGAAGAGAATGGAGTACTTGCAAACTTGTTTTTTCAAGAACAGTATTGCCTTGATTCCAAAACCAGAAAAGAAAAAAGAAAAATACATGCCAGTAGTCCTGGTAAACATATATGCAATAGTCCTCAACAAGATATTAGCAAACTAGACCCAATAGCATATTAAAAAGATCATTCACTACGATCAAGTGGGATTCATCCCAAGAATGAAAAGATGGTTTCACATATGCAAATCAATAAATGTGACACACCACATTAACAGAAAGATAAAACCCATATGATTATATCAATAGAAAGAAAATATATTTGACAAAGTTCAACATCCCTTTATGATAAAAACTCTCAAAATAGGTATAGGAGTTATGTACCTCAGCACCACAAAGACAATATATGACAAGCTCACAGTTAACATCATATTGAACAGGGAAAAGCTAAAAAGACTTTTTCTTTAATATTAGGAACAAGGCAGAGATGCTTATTTTCACCACTTCTATTGAATGTAATAACTAGAAGTCCTAGCCAGAGGAATTAGGCATGAGAAATATAAGGCATCCAAACTGGAAAGGAAGAGGTTAAATTGTCCTCGTTTGCAGATGAAATGAACTTATATATAGAAAGCCCTAAAGGATCCACCAAAAAAAATAGAATTAATAAATGAATGCAATAAAGTTGTAGGATACGAAATCAACACACAAAAATCAGTTGCACTTCTATACACTAATAGTGAACTAACTGAATAATAAATGATAAAAACAATTTCACTTACAATAGCTTCATAAAAAAAGGATTCCTTGGAATAAACTTAACCAAGGAGGGGAAAGATTTCTACATGAAAAACTATGAAACTTTGACAAAGAAAAACACAAGTAAATTGGAAAATATCTCATGTTTATGGCTCAAAAGAATTAATATTGTTAAAATGGCCATACCACCCAAAGGAATCTACAGATTTAATGCAATCTCTATCAAACTACCAAAGACATTCTTCACAGAAATAGAAAAAGCAATCCTAAAATTCATATGGAACCACAAAAGGCCCCAAATAGCCAAAACAATTATGAACAAAGAGAACAAAGAGAACAAAGTACCTGACTTCAACATACACTACAACACAATAGTAATAAAAACAGCATGGTGCTAGCATAAAAACAGACACACAGACCGAAGGGACAGAATAGAGAATCCAGAAATAAATTCACACACATACAGCTGACTAATTTTAGACCAAGATGCCAAGAAGAGATGTGGGAAAAAGACAGTCTTTTCAGTAAATGGTGCTGGGAAAATTCAAAATCTACATGCAAAAGAATGGAACTAGACCTCTACCTCTTACCATATACAACAATCAACTGAAAATAGATTAATGGCTTAAACGAAAAACCCCAAATTATAAAACTACTAGGAGAAAACACAGGGGAAACACTTCATGATATTGATCTTGTCAAGCATTTTTAAAATAAGACTTCAAAAGCACAGGCAACAAAAGCTAAAATAAACAAATGAGATTACATCAACTAAAAAGCTTTTGCAAAGCAAAGGAAACTAACAGTGAAGAGACAACTGACAAAATGGGAGAAAATATTTGCAAACTATACATCTGACAAGGAATTAACATCTACAATACGTAGGAAACTTAAACAACTCAATGACAGAAAAACAAAAACCCATTTAAAAGTGAGCAAATAAACCTTAATAGACATTTCTCAAAAGAAGACTTAACAAATGGCCACAGGTATATGAAAAAATACTCAACATCACTAATCGTCAGAGGCAAATCAAGATCACAATGAGATACTAAAAAGAGGAAAGAAAACAAGTGTTGGCAAACAAGGGATGTGGAGAAAGAACACTTACACACTTTTCGTGGGATTGTAAACTAGTACATCTGTTATGAAAAACTATGAACATTCCTCAAAAAATTAAAAATAGAGCTACAATATAATCTAGCAGTCTCACTACTGGGTTTACATAAAAAAGAAATGAGATAAGTATATCAAAGAGGTAACTGCACTCCCATGTTTATTGCAGTACTATTTATAATTGCCAAGGTATGGACTACATCAGATGAATGGATCAAAAAACTTGGCATATATACATAATGGAATGCTATTCAGCCATAAAATAGAATGAATCCTGTCATTTGTGACAACATGGATGAACCAGGAGGATGTCTCATTAAGTGAAATAAACCAGACCACAGAAAGACAAATACCATATGATCTCACTCATATGTGGAATCTCTGAAAACATAAAGTTGATATCACAGAAGCAGTGAGTAGAACAGTAATGACCAGAGACTAAGGTAAGGAGAAGGGAGGGGAAGATGAGGACAGGTTGGTCAAAGGCTACAAAGTTGTAATTAGATAGAATAAATAATTCTGGTATTTTATCACATAGTACGGTGGCTGTGGTTAATGATAAAATATTGTGCATTAAAAAATAGTTAGAAGAGAGGCTTTTGAATATTGTCACTACAAAGAAATGATAAATGCACGAAGTGATGAATACACTAACTACCCTAACTGGATCACTATACAACATAGATGTGTATCAAAACATCAAATTGTACCCCCAAACATGTACAATTACAATGTATCAGTTAAAAAATAAAAACAGAAAAAGAAGTCCATCAAATAGAGTTGCTACAGATCTAGTCAGGGTGAAGTATAATGCAGCTCTTCTTGGAACAGGGTGGTAGATTTAAAAAATTTCATTTTTTTCAGTTCTAATATTTTTCCTGAAAAACTTGCCAAATTATATTTTTAGTAGTCAAAAACCCCTGAATTTCCTTGTTCTACGGAAATTTTTGTTAAACTTGCATAAGAGCAAAGACAATATATGAAAATATTTTTAGAATTATCATTCTGAGACGTAGAGAAGTTTCTTATGTAATAAACAACTCCAGTGTTACATTAACCTTCTCATTTGCCTCTTTGCTTAAGAAAATGATTCTTAGAAAAAGTACAAATGAAATGATGAGTGGGAATGCTGTATTACATTAGAATGATAAATTAGAAAGAAAATAAATTAATGACAATAAAATCACACTCATATTAAGGTACAACTTTAATGAATGTTCAGTTTACAAAATCATAATGCTAATGACTTTCTTAACTAGAAGCTATTTAAACTCATAGTAGGCATTAACTATGTTTCCTATCACTCTCACAAAGGAAAGTTATTTGTAATTTTAGGGGAGTATTTGACTATTCTAAAGATATTTTCTGCTTATGTTAAAGGACTCCTCAGGAAGTATAATTGTTTATAGCTTCATTGGTTTAATAGTTGGACAGGTTGATTTGCTTTGCTTACATGTGAACTTTGCCCCAGCCACGGGGGCACATGAAATCCTCAGTCTTTTCTCTTGTCACTTTCTCTCTTCAAAATCCTCTTTTCCTATATCTTCAAGAGGCTGCCTCCATCTCATCATTCAGGTCTCGACTCAAATATCAGCTTCTCTGCTAGGCTTCTAACTCTTCCATCTAAAGTAACAATTCTAGTCACTCTATTTCATTATACTATCTTGGTTTTCTTCATTTCATTTACTACTACCAATATTTATTTACAGAATTTTTTTTTCAGCACTTACAATGTGTCAGGCACTGTTGAAGGGGCTGAAAGTAACACAACAGTAAAAGGAGAGAAATTTCTGCTCTTATGGAACTTATATTCTGAAATCCTTTTTAGTTTTGTTTACTTTTACTGTACACCTAACAAGAATGTAAGCTCCACAAGAGCAGAGATTTTGTCTTTCTTGGTCTTCATTGCACAGCCAGTTTCTAGGTTTGTGTAAATTAGTAGGTGCTCAATACACTTTTGTATGAATGAGCTCATTTTGTAAAGTGCTTAAAACTTTCAGTATGCCTCTACCTCATGGACTTACCAGAATTCAATGCTGTCCTTTCGCTCTGTAAGAACCAATGACTGAAGATCCTGATTGCACAATTGTAGTGAATTAGTCCCTGGCATATCAGTTACTCTGCCTTTGTTAGTTGAACTTATCCAGATAGCTTTGATTTTTCTCAAACTTATTTATGGCAACAGTGTTAGATTTTTATTGGTTTGTAACAAATCCCCACAGATTTAATGATTCAAAACAACACATATTTATTGTCTTATAGTTCCAGTGGGTCAGAGGTCTGAGTGCAGCTTAACCTGGTGCTATCCTTCAGAGTCTCTGACAGGGCTGCATTTAAGTTACTTACCAGGATTAGGTCTCATGTGAAGGCTCAACTGGGAAAAGATGTGCTTCCAAATTCATGCAGTTGTGGGAAGAATTCACTTGCTTGAGAGTCACTGAAATGTGGACCTTGGTTTCTAGCTGGCTATTAGATGGAGTCTACTCTTAGTTCATTGTCATGTTTGTTTCTCCAATATGGCAGCTAGCTTCATTAAAGCACATAAGCTAAGAAGGCAATAGCATCTGAAAGCAAGACAGGAGACATTGTTTTATGTATGTTAATACAAAAGTGACATCCCTTTTCCTTTGTCATATTCTGTTGATTAGAAGCAAAACACTAGATAGCTCAGACTCAAGGGGAAGAAATTATACAAGGAATGAATCCTAGGAGACTGAAATCATTGAAGGCATCATTGAGTCTGCCTGCCACAACAGTTGTTTATTTACTAATTTAATCATTTGTTTTAATTAATAGTGAAAAACAATAATATATGAGTGGGAAAAGAGAGTTGTTGGCATAAAAACTGTTACATGTTCGTAAAGACATGTAAATCAATTTGCTATATAAAACGTTTTTGAATTATGTGTGGGATTAGAGCACTATAAAAAATAACAATCTCTAATTCCACTTACAGGTTTTTTATGAGTGTCTAATTTTTTCTCCTACTTTAAATAAATGCAAACTCAAATTATAACTGATCCATTATGGATGTGATTTATGCAATAGAGATAAAGTAAAAATTTTATCAACCATATTCAAAAAGGCCCTGCCATTGCAACAAAAATATGGCCCAGATGTTGTCAACAAATTGAGTTTGATATAGAAGCTGGAAAAAAACAAAACTTACGGGATTCACATATTAAACACTAACTGGGAGCAATTATCTGCTGATATGTATGCTGCTCAGAGACTTACAGAAGATTTAAAGTCATTCATCAATAGAGAAAATTGGATTAGAGAGCAACTCTACAAAATTGAAGAATTGGGTCTAAATGAGAATGTGTCACATTTTCTTACAAAAATAATGGCACAAAATCAGAGCATGCAACATTTAGAATCAGAAATTCAAAGAAGAAATCATAGCAACCTCTTGTAGCAATGCAGCTTGTATCCAAAATTGCTATTTTTTTAAAAATCAGCAAATTCTAGAACTTCAAAAACATAAATATTTTATATTTAGCAGTTGATTATAGCTCACAAAAATCAACATGGGTGACTTCTGAATTATTCAAAGAAACATGAAAAAAATAAATTTACATAAAAAGTCAAAGCCTTTTTAGATAACACACTTTCACAACTCAATGTCAAAACCTTGAAGGCACCGAGAAAATTTTTTGTCTCGTCAATGTTACATTTTAAATTCAGTTCATGTAATAAAGAGTTCTAGATTGTTTTAAAAGGTGATGCAGGCAAAAATTGCCAGTTTTGAAAAACATACAAGACAAGAAAGCAGGTCTTAGAGAATCATTAAGATTTATTAAACGAAGATTTTCATAATGTATTTTTATTATAAACTTAAACTACTACTTTAGCCTTTGATAAATACAGGTGAGAAATATCAGTTGAGATGATAGTGCTATGGTAAACTCTGAACAAAAAACTAATTAGCATTTCAGCATATTAACTGATTTTGAGTCAATTAGAGATTCCTGAAGGTAACACATAAGAAATAATTATAGTTAATGTTCTGAAAAATAAATAGAAATCCTATATATATTGACAGAAAAAATAAATATAAAGAAGCTACAAAATTGAATCCAGAGCCAAATATTGCTTATGCATTACTCAAATAAATCATAGGTACAATTATATGTTATATATTTTTATGACTTACAGTTGAATGAACCAATAATATTTTGGTAAAATGTTCAAAACTCCGGAAGAAAAGTATTTCTTCTTCTCAATAACTTAAAATAATTAATATCATTAGATACATCAAATATTAAGTTAAAACAGTATATTCTAAATGCTTTTAAAATATATACCCTTTTAACCATCAGTTTTCATTATCTGAACAAGAATTACTCTATAAATAGTACTAGATCTGAGAACTTTTACTGATGTAGCTTATACTCAAACTGGACAGCTGGCTCAGCTAGAGCCTTAACGACATTTATGAAAACCCTGCCCTGTGTTTATCCTACTGATGGTAATTTGGCTGCATTAAATACAAGGAAATCACACTTTTGATAGGAATAGGAATCTCAGACCTGGCTCCATAATAGTGGCTAACTGAAATAGTAGTGTTAAAGCTATTATTTCCATTGATTGGTGGAGAAAAAAAGGAAATGTATTTTTTGGTGGGGGGTACTGCTATTTAATATCCAGTAATTGGTTAGAATCTGAATTTACAACAGACTTAAAATACTTAATATTTGATATATAATACCAAGCATAGAAATGTAAATGCAATTAAACTGGAAATGACACCATTCATATAAAAAAACAGATGATTATAGTGCTCATGATTCGTTGCCTTCTTATAATTCATTCTTTGTCCTATTGTGTAGTAGTCACACCTAGTCAATAAAATCACTCCTTTTTGCAAAGTAATTGATCAGAGATGAACATGTGATCCAAATTGGTCCCGAGTGAAACTCAGAGCTTTTAATTCATGGTTGGGGAAGAGAAATTATCCAGATAGTTCTGTGTGGTGGTAGCACCCGATACTGTTTCAGACGTCTCATTACCATGATCAATACTAGACTGAAAGTCACATGTACATAGATGAGGCTGGAACAGAGAGAAATGAAGAGAGATGGAGCTAAAAGTGTGACAAGGCATACCTGACGTTAATCCTACCTTTGAGTGTTTCAGTAATAACATTTATAAACAATATAAGTTATATTTTCTGTTATTTGCAAAATATCTTTATATATTAAATAAGTATTTTAAAATTTTAAATTCAGGGGTATATGTGCAGGAAGTGCAAGCTTGTTACATAGATAAACGTGTGCCATTGTGATTTGCTGCACAGATCATCCCATCACCCAGGTATTAAGCCCAGCATCCATTAGCTATTCTTCTTGATGTTCCCCTTCCTCCCTACTCCCACCCTCTGACAGTCCCCAGTGTTGTTGTTCCCCGCCATGTGTCCATGTGTTCTCGTCATTGAGCTCCCACCTGCAAGTGAGAACATGCAGTTTAAGACATTGAAAGACCCTTAGAGGGTTGAAAATCAGCACCCAGAATTTCCTCGAGTGACTTTAAAGATGAGAGGTGGCTGTTTGAGCAGAAGAGGCCACTTTGCAAGTGAACACCACCACAATAAATGCCTGGTAATGGTACCGTTAACAAAACCATATCTCTAGTGGTGCTGGGGCAATTCAAAGCTGATTGCCTTATGGTATTTAATGGTTGATTCTTCTAGAGACATGGAACGGTTTTTACTTTGAAATAAACTGTACTTCTACTTGCCAATGATATTTTCCTCCCCACCCTGTTCATCTTTGGCTAACGACATTAAATATTTACTGGAGTTACACATAACTGGGAATTATTAGTGACTGACCACAGCTATAACTCATAAAATATTCATTACATATCTTTAAATTATTGATTGATATTACGAATGTACAGGCACCATAATAGAACAAAAGTTTAGCATTGTTTCCAGCTGACAAGGATTAAGTAGAAATGCTTCACCCCCATCCTTTTCTCTCACTCTAGAAAGCTGACAACATTAGTAAGTTAAGTGTTTTCATTTCTTTTGATAATAGCTTACCAGATATTTGGAATCCTACCTCAAAGGTGGATGGATAGGTAAAATAATGCTAATAACTACAAATAATAAAAATAATAGTTAACCCTTATGTAATACAATAAACCAGGTATTATTTTAGCACTTTCCACATGCCAGCTAATATACTCTTTAGGATAATCTCAAGAAGTAGATCCTATTATTATCTCTTCTTTATAAATAGGAAAGTTGAGGTATACAGAATCAAGTCACTTGCTCAAGATCACAAAGCTTGAAGATGGAAGGGTTGGGATTTGAACCAGGCAGTTTGGCTACAGAGCACATGCACTCAACCACAAACTGTAGTATACTAGTAATCATAAATATCACTAAATGTTGGAGAGCAGTAGCTTGCCTAGGGCTAGTTTTTCTTGGAGTTAATCCAAGGGAATTTTGCACTGAAATGTAAAAGACTCAAACTACAAATTGGTCCCTAGAGAGAACATTCTCCTCATACTGGGTGGCAACAGCAACGAGACTCACCATAGAACAGCATCATATGAAAATATTCTAGAATAGGTGGTGGTTGATTATAATAACCAAGGACTACTTCATACTGGGAGATGCTCAGAGGATATTAATTCTATAGTGAATTTTTAGAACTATTGTTGCAGGTTTAACAAAAATGAGGTGGGTGATTTTTTTTTTCTGAACACTTGGCATTTTAAACAATTTATGGGAAGCCAGGGCTGTGTGAGTATTTTGTGAATCATGGAGAAGGAAATTGACATTGTGATTTTTCTGGCTCCACGTGTAACAAGAGCAAATAAACTATTACTGTACTTTTAACTTTGACCCACAGGAAACTTGTGGTATAGCAGTGAATTGATGTTTTTAAGAAATTGACCAAGTCATTTAAAAAATTACAAGAGGTAATTTTGGAATATTCAGACATGAATAAAATTTTCATTAAAGTTAGTATTCTCCAGAATGGATGCTGTGAGGAGTAGAAGTCTGATACTCAGTTGCCAATAATGCCAATGAGAAAGCAGATGGAAAGACATTAAAAAGAACCAATTTTACTTCACAGGAAGTGATCCATCTTCAGATTTTACAGGATCATGCGGCTTCAACTGCCAACTTATATAATTTTAGTAACTGTGTATGAAATTCGAGCCAAGATTTCACTCTAAACCCTGGCCTATATATCCAGGTGCCTATTGAATATCTACTTAAGATGGTGCGGATTTACTCTCTTGGTAAATGACCATCACATATTTCAATTTCTACTTAAATTTTTAAGGCTTTAACTGGCTCTATAAGTTAAAATAAATTTGTTTTCCTTTAAATATGCTTTTTCTTATTGTAAACATTTTATAATTTATTATAAATATCTATTTTCTCTAAACATTTTGCTTTCAGTAAAATGCTTTTTAGCTGTTTTGGATATTAATTACCAGTGGATTGATATGACTGCTTTTGTTGACTAGTAAAACTTATTGCCTATGCTGATTAGCTTAACCTTGCAAAATTAAAATATCACTAGCCTTTCTCAGAAATATATATATATATATATATATATATATAAAGCCTGACTTAGTCCTTAATGCCTCTGCTTCCCTCAGAGAACACATCAAATTTGACTCTAATTCTGTATGTATACTTCCCAACTCTGACCATTTTCTGTAAGTTCACCATCTTAGATTAGAATGTCATCATTTTTGAATAGATGATTGCAACAATCTCCCAATAAATCCCCCCTGCCTCTTGTTTTGCCACCATTCAAACCATATTTTTTCCCAGCCATCAGAGTGAGTCTTATATACATCAATCTTATCCTGACAGTCTCCTATGTAAAATTCTTTATTTGCTCTCTATGGTTTCTGAACAGTCAGTATAGGACCCTTCAAGATCTGGCCCTTATTCAGTGACCAGACTTACCTGTCACTGTTCCACATAACTATCCTTGTTTTCTGAAAGTTATCATCCAGCTAATTCCAAAGCATTTATTCTTCCTATAACCCACCTCATGCTCCATTTTTTTTTCACAATGAATGTGTGTGCATATATATCCAAGAGTGCATTAAGAATTTTATTGTGATGGTTATATGGTATGGTGAAATTTGTGACTTAGAGTATTTGTGGGGATTTAGCATACATTTTCTGTAAAAGCTGTCCTGCTGGTAGGACCATATCTGAAGTAATCCTTAGTTTTGGGTGCCAAATTTTAAGAATAAACCAACAAGCTAGAGCATGAACAGCAAAAAACAGAAGCCTAAAAAAAGATTAGTCTTATTGTGCTCACAATAACTCAAGCAATAGTTGAAGGCCTGTTTTATAGATTGAAGCTTTCGTTAAAGTGCATCTCCCTTTTGTATAACTTTGGAGAAGTCATTAGAGAGAATGTAGAAAGACATTTTTACTTAATAGGTTTCCATGTGAGGAAATATTTAAATACAAGCTCTTACCTAAGATAGAGGGAGGTAGTGAAGGTAGTAGGCAGGGTTCGGACACCAGACCAGATTGAGGACTAGCTAAAACAGAGCCAGGGCAAAAGCAGCTTTCAATCAGACGCCCCCACTAGTGTGCCATGTCAATTTACCATTACCATGGCAACAACCAGTTACCACCCCTTGCCATGGCAATGGCCCAATGACCTCAAAGTTACAACCCCTTCCCTAGAAATTTCTGCATAAGCCACCACTTAATCTGCATGCAATTAAAAGTGGGTATAAATATGACTGCAAAACTGCCCTGAGTGGCTACTCTTTGCCTACAGGGTATCCCTGCTCTGCGGGAGCAGTCACAGAGCTGTAACACTGCAGGAGCTGTAAGACTGTCTCTTCAATAAAGCTGTTTCTTCTACCTCTGGCTTGCCCTTGAATTATTTCCTGGGCAAAACCAAGAACCCTTGCCAGCTAATCTCTACTTTGGGAGTCACCTGTCCTGCATCAGTAGGACTAAAGCAATCCCCCACATCACCTTTCATTCTGATTATTATTTTGTGTCTGTTTCATTTTTCACCTTAAAATGGTATAATAGGCCAGGCGTGGTGACTCACGCCTGTAATCCCAGCACTTTGGGAGGCCGAGGTGGGTAGATCACCTGAGGTCTGGAGTTCAAGACAAGAATGGCCAAATTGGTGAAACCCCATCTTTACTAAAAATATGAAAAATTAGCTGGGCATGGTGGTGTGTGCCTGTTATCCCAGCTACTGGGGAGGCTGAGGCAGGAGAATCGCTTTAACCTGTGAGGCAGAGGTTGCTGTGAGCCGAGATCACGCCATTGTATTCCAACTGGGTTACAGAGCAACACTCTGTCTCAAAAAAAAAAAAAAAAGGTATAATAGACAGCCTCAGTGCATCAGTCAAGACCTCATTTTGGGAACCATCAATGATCCATTAAAAACAAGTGAGTTTTCATCAACATGTTTGAGAAGTAGTACCTCTAGACCTTACACTGTTTCTTGTTTTCTAAGTGTTTCGATTTTGATCTCACAAACTGTATATTTTTCCCCTCATTTTATGGGACTAATTCTATCTATAAAAAGATGATTAAGAAAGTGAAGTATCTTCATTAAATTCTAGTTTGCCCTATTGACTGTTTCATTTGTTTTTAAGTAGTATTGATTTTTAATCTCTAAGTTCAGCATGTCTAAATAAGTCTTTTGTCATAATTTGGTCTAGGGCTGTTAGCTTACATTTTCTTATTTTAGCTTTATTTTACATCACTAACTGTATATACTTTTAGTACTACTATATTAATGAACCGCTAGTGTTGTTTTTTTTGAAACAAGCATTTTAGAAAATAGGAAATAATGCAGAAATAGTCTAAAAATCATGTTTAATTCTTCTACTCAGAGTCACTTTTTAACAACTACTAATTTTAGTATATTCATTTCCAGTCAGTTTCCTAGATGTATACATTTATTTTTAACTTCATTAAGATATTTAAATTTTTACATTTAATTTTATTTATTTATGTATTTATTTATTTTTTTAGAGACAGACTCTTGCTATGTCACCAAGGCTGGAGTGCAGTGGCACAATCATTACTCACTGTAACCTCAGACTCCTGGGTTCAAGCAATCCTTTTGCCTCAGCCTCCTGAGCAGCTGAGACTAAAGGTGTGCACTATCATGCCTGGCTAATTTTTAAATCTATTTTGTAGAAACAGGGGTCTTGCTATGTTGCACAGGCTAGTCTTGAACTCCTTGCCTTGAGCAATCCTACTGCCTCTGCCTCCCAAAGTGCTGGGATTACAGGCATAAGCCAGTGCACCCAGTCATTTATTTTTAAATGGTTGTGATTTCACCTTATTTGTAACTTTGTATTCCACTTTTTCAGTTAATATTATGTGCATTATTGCATGTCATTAAAAAACTTCCTAAATATGTTTTTCTTAACCCACAGTTATTAAGGACAGGATTTTCTGAGCAATTAGGTTTTAGAGATTTATGTATGAATGTCTTTTATTCAAAAGAATTAATGCAAATTGGCTGTTCGGTAACTACCATTCTAACTAACTTGAATCGACATAATTGCAGAAAGAAATTTAAGAGAGAAATCTTAGTCGGCTCTGAACCACGCAGGATGTCTCTGATGAAATGTCTAAAATCCCTTAATTTCCTCTACTTCATTTACAACAATTTTACTCTTCTCTCTCACCTTTAAACCTCCTTTGTCCTTACCCTACAGTTCTTTCCATAAAAATCAAATTACTTGACCTATTTTTGTTCTAAATGCTAATTATATTTCACATTATTAAGCAGATTTTTTTCTTAATTATGAGGTCTTAAGAATAATTATTAAACAACATTTTTTCTATTACTCTATAAAAATAGAGAAATCACTAGTGATTTAAATATCGCTTCATATCTACCATATAAGCTCTGAAAGAAGAAAAGATGCATAACTTATTTCTTATATGTTAGGAGCTTAGCACATGGCAGGCACTGATCCAATAGCATTTAATAAAGTGCAAAAATTAAAATTTGCTTTTTAGCATGTGAATTAAAAATGAGAGAAAAGCAAAGAAGAAAAAGAGATGAGAAAAGTTAGGAAATGGGTAGACAAAAATGAAAGTTGGCATGTGGATGTTTTGCTACATCTTCTTGAACATATTTGTCTTCCTGGGTTCTGCATATGTGTGAATCCAGCCAAGATGCATAAGCCAAATCAACTCAACTTACATCATGTCTCCTAAAGTAAAAATAGGCAAAAACATTTCTCTTCTAATTTGAGAATTTAACAATTAGAAAATTATAGGTAAAATAAGTAATTTTACATTATTTTTTAAATGAAAATAACATATAGTATATTTTTAGAAAATGAACCTAATATAATTTTTTTAAATGAATCATTTGGCTTAGAAAACTAGTTTGGAAGTAATCTGGCTTCCTAGTTAATATAGTTTTCATTGAGGGAATATTTGGAAAGTAGAGATAATAAGATCACTTGCATTCATCACCTAGAAATGAGTCATGTAAACGCTTCATTTTCTGTTCTTTGTCTTTTGCCCACATATATTGATGCACAGTTTTCCCAGTAAAACCGGGATTATATTATACATATATTTCAACTAAAATTTTGCACTTCATATGTTTTTATTTTATTCTCACATTTTTAAAAATCATTAGTCTTCTATATTATTTTAGGCATACTATTGTTTTAATATATGAAACCAAAGCATACCAGCCCGGAAATGATCTGTGTTTTAATTTTAATTAAAGTGTGTTATGTCTTCAAGTTTTAGGTACTTCAGACAATATATTCAAAAACCATTTAAGATAAATGTTATGAATGCCTAACAACAAGTCAAGGGCTATGTTCAGCTCTTTTTTTCTTACTCATATTTCATGGCAGGGACAATTTGGATATATAAGGGGAAATTTGACTGTGATTGCAAGCAAAATCAATCCTGAGATAGATTGGTATGAACAGTGAAACTTTCAGAAATTTGTATTTATTATTAATGGTAAAAACAAGAAAACAGACAAACAAATCCCAACACATGCGTACCCTTACCCCCTCACCAATGAGCAGGTGAGAGCAACTTAATACAGCTGGGTTGAAATAATTGAAGCTATTCAAGTGATAAGCCGATCTAACAACAATAGAATCTTTTTCATGTATAGAACTGATGTCTCTTTCCTATAAAATGAACATCTCAACCTTGGCAAGGTGTTAGAATAACCTAATGAGTTTTTAAAACAAACAGTAGGGCTGGGCACGGTGGCTCACGCCTGTAATCCCAACACTTTGCTAGGCCAAGGTGGGTGCATCACAAGGTCAGGAGATCAAGACCATCCTGGCCAACATGGTCAAACCCCATCTCTACTAAAAATACAAAAACTTAGCCGGTGTTGTGGTGCACGCCTGTAGTCCCAGCTACACAGGAGGCAGAGGCAGGGGAATCGCTTGAACCCTGGAGGCGGGGATTGCAGTAAACCGAGATCGTGCCACTGCACTCCAGCCTGGCGACACAGCGAGACTCCATCACAAAAAACAAAACAAAACAAACAACAACAACGAAACAAACTAACAAACAGAAAAACAAAGAGTAGTACAGCTTTACCCCCTAAATTGGTCTGTGGTGGAGCCTGAGCACTGGTGTGTTTTAAAAAGAACCCTGATGATCCTTTTGTTTAGCCAGGAATAAGGAGTATTGCTTAAATGAATGCGAAACTGCAAAATTGGATTTTGAGAAAGTAAAATCTGATCTTCTCTTTCTAATAAGAGTAAACAAAGGAATAAGATGAAGGCAACTAACAAGCTAAAATATATTTTTAATTTTTTATATTCACCTGGGCAGATATTATTTATGCAACACTTAAACAGAGTATTTATCTCTATAAAAGTTTACATTTAACCTGCAAGCTTTTAAAAACAATATCTGTTCTTTTTTGATGGAAAAAATCCAAAATTCACGCAATTCACTTATCATATTAAAAAATAAATCTGTTTTTTAAATTTATTTTTTTCTCACACAGTCTCATATTAATCTATGGCAAACAAAATAATTAGCCATTCAATTTTGTGATGTTGTTGTAAAAGTATTTCCAAATAATTATGTTACCATTTACATTTTATGTTTTGTACCAAAAGATCTATTTCAAATTTGTGAACAATAGACAGAGGTAATGTCAATTAATGAAATACCTTTTTTGGGTTAAAATTTGATTACATTGACTAGCTGTTTTTAAACTGTGTTGATTTAAATTAAATCCTTTCTTAAATCAAAATAATAAAAGTGTTCCAGGCTGAATCTAAGTCCATTCTGAGAAACAGCGGTAAATCCCTCTATAATTAACTTATATAAGACAACTTCAGAATGAAATTTGCTTTCTGGTTTCTCTACCACTGCTAAGAAAAGTAGCCCCAAATTTAATTAATGAAATGTTGTTTGCCTATATTTTCTATTAAGCCTTTCATCTAACATAATTTCCATGTGTTTTATTTAGTTAATAATTCTTAGGTTTTGGTGTTAATAAGGAATCATTCAGGGGTGTTGCTTAAAAATTTAGATTCTTGGGCTCCAACCTAGACATTCCCAGGGAGAAAATCTGGGAATCTGCATATGTTAAACAAACTTCTCCGTCTATTCTACAGTAAATAATAGTCGTTCACACTTGAGAAAATATTCATCTCGTTGTTCTTATTTCCAGGCATTTTGGGAAAAAGATGCTGTGAGGTATACTTCACAGGTGTTTGGAGGAAGGTTGGTTGGCTGTTACAGTTTTTCTGCTTGCAGACCCACAACTATCCTTAACAAGGTGTAGGCCATCCCCTGTGCCCTGTGGTTTTTAGGACACTTCAGACATTTTCTTTTTCCTCAAGCATTTGCACTTCCTTCCTTTGTTGAGGTAATTTATGTCCAAAGGGTAAAGCCATAAATGTGTACCAGTACTAAGGTTTAAATTAGAAATATTTGTGAGAAAAATGTATCTATTTAAATTCATACTTAGGTGTAAATGAATGGAATCTTTTCTGGTAAAAGAAGTGCAGTGGGAAAAGGAATGTTAAGGGCATTAATATGGGATGTTGAGGAGGAGTGGGGCACCACAGGGACTGAAAAACTGGCTTAGAACGCGAAGTCTGTGACCATTGAAGAAATCGTGCCAGTCTAACAAATTTTGCTCTGTCTTGGATTTGGCATTCTCTGCCTATCTACCTATTCACTACCTATCTATAAGTTCCTTGAGGACAATTTCTCTTTTATATTTCTTTTTCAGAATTTGTCTGAACCTTTTTTTGTATTTAACGCATTAAAGGCAGACAGCAAGTACTTGCTGGGTGATAAATGATAAAGCCCCTGGGTCACTTTAAACTCTGTTCCCTCCCTCTTAGTTCACCTTCTGCCTTCTAATGATTTTATTATTGACATCCTACTACCATTTCCTTACTTAGTGGTCAAGTTATTTCCTGCCCCGTCTCCTTGACTAATCTTTTATCTTATCAAATCTGCCTTCCACATCAAAAGCAAAGTAACCCTCCATTGCCTAAATAATATTTTCTGAACTGTGTTTCTGGGAATACTTATTTCCAGAAAATGGAATCCCATTGCAATTTAACAATTCAAATAATTTTGAAAAATGATTTCATTGTGATTTTTTAGAGCCTTTACATGTAATGTACTATCCAAGGGGATGTTCTTTTCAGTATTTCCCAAGCTTATTTGACTGGTAGTCCATTTTTTGTGAAACGCTTTTTGGCCTATAAGAAGAACTATTCATTTCTCACCATGGTACACAAGGCTTTTCAAGACCCTCCCCACTGTCTTTCTTTCTGGGTTCTTTTCCACCACTTTCTCCCGTACATTCCTCAAACAGCAACTCTGAGCTTCTTTTTGTTTCTGCTGTGCTACATGTGTGTGTTTGTCCTTGCTTTTGCAGAGCATGATTGTTCTGCCTGGAATGGCCCCTGACCACACCTTTCATTCCAACCTTTACTCTTTTACGTCCTTAGGTTTTTATTTCTTTTTAGAGGCCTGCCTTTATTATCCCATTCACAGTATCCTCCTTTTACTACATTATCATTACATCTGCTGTATGTCTTCATCAGTGCATCTACCACAGTCTGATTTCTTTGCATACTTCCTTCTTTCTCTAGAATGAGTTTCTTGAAACCAGCAACTATTCACCTTTGTTTCAAAAGAACTGGATTTCAGTACGTGCTAAATGAATGAACAAATGTACAAATAAGTTTTCAGCTCAACTGACATTTGCTTACTGGCTAGAAATCCTGAATTAAAGTTTGCCTTTTTACAATCTCCAAGTTTCACTGGCATCCAAATTATTACATTAGAGCATAGTAGGTTTGATTCTGATTTATTCACATAATTCATTCAAGTATCCACCTGTTTCAACTGCTGTTGTCTCCAGGGAAGTGCTGGAGTGCCCACTGTGTTTCTCCTGGACATAAATATACTTGGAAGACTGCTACATTTGAAAGCAGTTTTTTTTTTTTAAATTAAGACCCTGAGATAGAACACAGGACTATCAGTAGCTCTTCTTTCTTTTTTATGGTTTACTTTCTTTGAAAGAATTCATCTAAGAGAGCTTTAAACCTCACTGTTTTATTTTTATTTAACAAACACATATGGTATTTACTATGTAACCATATTGTAAGCAATTTAGAGATATTAACTTATCTAATCATTATGAAAACTCTACCCAGGCAGATATTCCTGTTATCTATATTTCACAGACGAGAAAACATAGGCAAGAGGATGGAAGTATGTTACTACGGTGACACTATTAAAAAATAACATTTGATTCTGAGCAGTCTGTCTCTCAGAGTTTGTCATCGAAAGCGCTTAGCCATGCTTCTTTTCATTGCGTTCAGATTCATGTGGAAGAATCGCTGGGCAGTTTTTAGGTGCACATGCCACCTTATCGAAATTCCTTAAATGCTCTGTGAAAAAGAGTTTTTAAAATTTCTTTCAGTTTAGCTAGCTGGTAGAGAATATAAATCCATAAAAAACTTAAAGGTTATTGATTGGATAGGATTTATCTTTCCAAATGTAATCATGTGGACTTCTAATGTTGAGAAAGTAAACAGATTTTAAAATGAAGGGGAGCATTACAAGTCAGTTATAAAATATTTCTTTTTTAAAAAAATGGAATATAACTGCAATAGGTTTTTATCTAAGACTCAGTGAATCTTAAAGAGATTAAGCCATACTAGGAACTCTTATGTGAGAAAGATTGACATAGCTGTGGGACACAGACTATTTCTATGCAGCATAGCTGTTTTTAATGAAAAAATAATCAAGGCAATGGAGCTTCAAAAATGTATGCTGCAGGTGATGAGGAAGAATGGCAGAAGATAAAACAATAGAAGAAAGGGAGAGAATTACATAGCATAAGAGGGTTGACCTACATCTGTTCATTTACCTTATAAACTAATATCTATTCTAACGTTGCCTTATCCATTTTTCTTGCTGTAAGGAAATACCTGAGGCTGGGTAAAGGGCTTATTTGGCTCATGGTGTTTCTGCAGGCTGTACAGAAAGCATGGTGCCGACATTTGCTTTTGATGACAGCCTCAGGAAACTTCCACTCATGGAGAAAGGCAAAGGGATTTAAGCATCATGTGCAGATCACATAGTGAGAGAGGAAGGGGAGTGAGAGTCAGTCAGGCAACTACCCTGCATTTAACTGAAAATGCACTAATCCTTTCTCCAGAATTTCGCTTTTAGGATTTTAATATTTGGGATTTTAATCTTTTGGGATTGTGAATTTCAGGATTGCAGGCATTAGGCATTTTAGACTTTAGGAATTTTGATCTTCAGGAATTTTAATCTTTTGTGATTTCAACATTCAGGATTATGGCATTTGGGATTGTGTCTTTTTGGATTATGATGGGTGCCACTTTTCCTAGGCAATTCCTGAAAGTGACATTCCATCACTTTTTCATATTTCATTTGTTAGACTAAGTTAATAGGCCCATCCCACAGCCAAAAGGAAGGGACTGCACAAGGGTAACTCCCAGAAGGTGAAGGACATGGGGGCCACATTAGAGTTTGCCTACCACAATTGTGATGGGCTTGTTAGATATTGTTTAATTTGCTTGAATAATGTTTCTGATAGCTTCAGCATTCTAATATAGAAGACTTGAAATTGAAGGTGTTGGTGTTTATTAAATCCAACTTAATTACTTTTAAAGCTAGATTGAGAAGTATTCTGTGTTCTCTGTGGTGTCATTTTAAAATTTGTCACAATGAAAGAATGCAAGAGTTTAAGATACCTCAAGATTTAAAATAGGATAAAAAGATTACAAAAACTTAGATGTACTATTCTATCAGGCTGACAGGTTCAAAAGGCAAATCTTTTGTCTCTCTTTTAGTTAGTACAGTGGCACCTTGCACCAAATAATTTACTGAATCATTTTTGCAAAAAAATACATAGCAACAAATCAAATCAATACTGGAAACATAGTCACATTTCATGGTCGCTCGTGGAAAAAATGAAATGGAATAAAATAATTATTGTTTCATTTTGACAGATACAATAATAATATCTAATTCATGTTCATGTAGGATGAGTCACATAGCTTGGCATTTGAGTAAAGTGTGATATCATTCATCTTAGGGGATCATCAATCAATAATTATTCTTTGAGTCCTTGCTCTGTGTAAGAAATTGTGGAAATATAAAGATGACCTATGAGCTCTCATGGGTTGCAGGTCTTTTTTTTTTTTTTTTTTTTTTTCGAGACAGAGTCTCGCCCTTTCGCCCAGGCCAGACTGCAGTGGCGCTATCTCGGCTTACTGCAAGCTCCGCCTCCTGGGTTCACGCCATTCTCCTGCCTCAGCCTCCCGAGTAGCTGGGACTACAGGCGCCCACCACAACACCAGGCTAATTTTTTTGTATTTTTAGTGGAGACGGGGTTTCACCGTGTTAGCCAAGATGGTCTCAATCTCCTGACCTCGTGATCCGCCCGCCTCCGCCTCCCAAAGTGCTGGAATTACAGGCGTGGGCCACCGCGCCTGGCGGAGGTCTTTTATTCATATACTTATTCATTCATCAATATGCACATAGAGAGCCTACTATGTGCACAGGATGACCTGCTAGAACAATAGTAGGACAGGAAAAAAAGAGAAAACATTTATCAGTCTGATTCCTGCTTTCAAGGATCTCATGGTCTCAGATTTCAATCTGACTCTATGTATGTTTTATAGCTCAATTATAGCTCTTAGTTCTTAGTGCAAATTTAGTAGACTCATGCTGAATTACCTATTAAACTTTTTAAAATTCATCATTATCCTGTGCTTCTGCCACCTTTCCCTTGGAAGATGCCTACTCATTTTTACTTCTTAGTTACAAATCATTTCAGCTGGGGAATCTTCTCTGATTACTTCAGGTTGGGTTCTTGCCCTTTGTGCTCTCCTTAGCAAACTGGACCATTCTCCTCCCATTGTGCAGTGCCTCCCTTTAAACAAACAAACAAACAAAAACCCAATAAACCCCATTCAAGGGTAAGCTGCATGACATCAGAAGGGTGTTCATCTTGTTATCATTACATCCCCATCTGTTTAACAATATTTATTTTGTGCCTACTATATACCAGGTACATCTTGAGGCACTCATAATATGGCAGTGAAGCTTATGTTTAGTGGAAAGAGACATAAGATAGATAAATACATTTGTACTCACTCAGATAATAGTAAGTGCTATAAGACAAAGAAGGACAAGATGATAAAGCAAGTGGATTGCAGGGAAGGCAGGGCTCTTTTAGATAAAGTCCTCTTTGAAGTGGTGATATTTGAGCTGAGAACTAGAGGAACTGAGGGAGGAAGACAAGGCGGCAGCCTGTTCCTGGGAGAGGGGATAGTGAGTGCAAAGACCCTAAGTTGGGAGTGTGTTTCATGTAGTGAAGGAGCAGCAAGGAAGCCTTTGAGGCTGGAGAGTAGTGATGGTGGGCAGGTGGAGCAGAGTATTAAGAGATGAGGTCAGAAAGATTTCCAGGGGTCAGATCACAGAGGATTTTACAGATCAGCGTACTTCTAACACCTGGCACACAATTGGTGTTTAATGAGCATACATTGAATGTTGTTAGATTAGGTTTGAAGTAAATGAGCAGTATTGCCTAATTTTATAATATTAGTTAATATTATCACTATTGAAGTACTTGGATAAGTGAATCAGCAAACTTTGCTGCATGTTAGAATCACCTAGAATTTTTTTTTAAAGACTGATTCTAGGTCATATGGCAGGCACATGACATCCAAATCTCTGGGTGGCATCTGTTTTTTTTTTTTCTTTTTTAGAGCTCCTCAGGTGATTTCAGACAACTATGAAAATCACTGAGTTAGATTAATGTTTCTGAAAGTGTGGCCACCAACCAGCAGCATTGGAGATAATTGGAAATTCAAATTCTTGGACTCATCTTATATCTATTGAATCAGAAACTCTGGGAGTAAAACTAAGCTATCTGTATTTTGTTGCCCAGATGCTTCAAGTGTGTGCTAAAATTTGAGTATCATTTTCTTAAAAGTATGAGCCCACATGCAGACAAAATAGGTGATACACTTCGTGATGTTAATTGTAGAGGTCCATGTTTCTATATGTGTATAGTGGCAAAAATGTCTAAAATTTTAGCATTTGAGAATTGTTTCTTTGGATTAAAACACTCCCTCTCTCATTGCCTTTTGTTTAACTAAAACTTTACTGTGAGTAAAATATTGAACCATTGTTAGTAGTACTTTAATGTAAATGTATTGATTGGAATAATTTTGCTGACTGAGGATGGGCCACTTTGAACACTAAGAATGGTTGAAATAAAAAAGATTTCTAGAGAATAATGAAGATGAAATGAAAACACAATTTTCCTTTAGTCTCAAAATCAATGGTATTTAATAAAATTCCAATTAATCATTAGCACTTGATAAAATTGAAAACTGAGAAAATTTTAAAATAATCTGACTATATTTTTCATATTTTGGTGGGCATATTTTGGAAAATGTATTTACTTTGTTTTTAGTTAATTGTACACCTGATTCTATATTCACTATATCTGTACATGACAATTTTGACATTTGCAAATTTAAAATAAAATCAATATTTTAAAGAATTTAAAAAGAGAAGATTTCTCCAGATGCTTTTCTTTTTCTTTGTTTAAGAAATCAAAGTCTTGCTGTTTAGGTTTCTATCTGACATCACTCTTCAAAAGATTTCCACATGGAAAACCTTATCACCATTTACCCTCCTAGAGAAAGTTACATTTTCTTTCACAAAACCTGAATATTAATATGTACATTGGAGTTTCTTTTTCCCTTTCCCTTATCTGGGAATAATAATGAATGAGAGAAAGTGAATTATATATACAGCTCAGGGGCACTGCTCAAAGGCTGAGTTTGAGCAGTATTATAATTCTAGTTTTAGCCTTCTTATCAATGCAGCAGGTTCATTCAGGTTTAAGAATGAACTGTTAAAGTCTTTTGTTGTCCTGTTACACAAGTTTTCTGTTATATAGAAAACTCAGCTTTTTTTTCCTGGTTTGTGGCTTAACCAGAGGCAATACCCAATATTGTCTGCAAAGTACACGCAATATATATTTGAAGAACTTGAATAATATTAGTATCTTGGCTGAGTAAGGAGAAAAAATAATCTATAAAGTATAGATAATACAATTTTAAAAGGGAACTTTCACATGCCATAGGATTTCATTCAGCTTGCTGACAAAGGACTTCAGAAATAAGGAGAGCTTGAGATGGAGAAAATGTAAATGCACAG
Organism: Homo sapiens; assembly: GCF_000001405.40. Lineage (NCBI taxonomy): Eukaryota > Metazoa > Chordata > Mammalia > Primates > Hominidae > Homo > Homo sapiens. The sequence continues at coordinate 86,490,490 of NC_000007.14, read as the reverse complement.
TGTGTCTTGATATCTCCAGTTTGTGTCTTCATATTTTGCTGTATATTTGACTGATGAAAGCCTTGCTGAGATTTGCAAGCAAGCATCAAAGGATCTGTGGAATTTTTAAATGAACAATTTCCCTCTATGTCACTCAACAAAGCAATATGTTTTCTTAATTTTTCATCATATATATTTTTTTCAAGATAAATCCACAGCCCTGCTGGGGAGGTGAACATAACCTTTGCAATATTATATTGTCCCCCTGGGAATCTTTCTTCTGACAAAACAATGTTTTCTTAAATGTCAAGTTTCTCCCGTCTACTATTTTTGCATCAGAAGCCAACTTTAGAAAAACTAGAAAGTCTTTTTTTCCCCCATTTTTCCTTTCAACCCACATAAAATAGTGCCATTTAATATAGCACTGCACAGTTTGCAGTCTTAAATCTGAATTCTCCAACTCTAAGTAGCATGAAACTGTCAAGTGTCTTTTCTCCTTTGCATATTTGAATGCCTTTTAAAGTTATATTTTGCTACTCCCTGGCATTTATTAGAAACCATCAGTGGCCTAGCACTGTTTGTTATTGGATCACAATAGACAAGTGCGAATATGTTCATTTGATAATGATTCCCCCCAAAACACATGCATGGCATCCCAAAAGCTAATAAAAAGATAATTTATATTTAATAAAAATAAAATTAATTATTGTATAACTGATTAGAATTATAGAGCTAATGAATTGGTGAAACAACCATATTAAATCATAATTTTAAATTACATATCTGCTTTCTATGAAGGATCAAATCACATATGCTCACAGATATGGAACACACCGAATACAGGCATGATATGCCTATGTACAGACAAACTTTTTTTCTTACTATTTCTTTTTCTTTCATATACATTATGAATAAAGTGTATCAGGTCTTAATGTCTGTCATGCATTATCAGGATATTTACTAATCATTTCTTGATTTAACAAATGCTTAGCGAAGGCAGGTTTCTAGTTGTGCATATAGATAAAGTCTATACATACAGGTAAAGTGTGCTCAGGAGGCTTATTTTCTTGCGGGTACATTAGAAAGTAACCAAGTAAATAAATAAACAAGATAATAAGAGGTGCTTAAGTGGTAGGTAGAAAACAACAGAATAATGCATTGGATATTGATTGAGGATGATACTTTAAATAAATAGATATATGTATGTCTGCTACATGGTAAGGCATTTGAGTGAGCCCTCAAGGATAATGAACCAGTTAGGAGAAGGCTTGGCAGAAGGGGTAACATGTGCAAAGCCTGTAGATGGGGAAAGGCTAGGTATATTCAAGGAAAAGAAAGGCCATTGTGGCTAATGTAGTGAACAAGATGAAAAAATGCTATGAGATGATGGTGAAGAAGTAGTAGGAGCAAGATTCTGAAGGCCTTCTGCCAAACAGAACTCCAGGTTTTATTCTATGAGCAACAGTGAATATTTGAAGGGGCCTATATAAGTTCCTCAGTGAACAAAGTCAAAGATTTGGGCAAGAATGTTGTGGAGCAGACAAACCAAAGATATGTTTTAAAGGTAGAACAAGATGGACTATTCACTGTTCTTATATTGATTTACTTAACTATTTTCATTAGATACTTTAAACATAGCACAATGAATGCTCCCTTAAATGTCTAAAATATTACCTTAGAAAAAAGATTACTTAACACTTAAGGAAATCTTTTTTATAAAACCAGATAGTTAATAAGGATAGTGACACGTAGCCAAAAAATCCTTAATAAGACCAGATATGTCAACATATACATATTAAGTTAATTTTCTATATCATGGTAGAGCTGAAATATTGCATCAGGAAAGAATCATTTTACACATACACACCATGTTTTATATCCACCACATCATAAGGAATAGAAGCATTACCACCTGGTATTTTGGCAATTTCAGAAAGTGCTGACAATTTCGCCTCCATAGTCACTGGGATATGTTCAGCACCAAGGAAAAGTTAGCCCATTTTCACCAAGTAATTACTTCAACTTTGAGTTGGCAGGATGAAAGAGCAGCACACTGTGATGCGATAGGAAATGATGCAGAGGGTGAAATCTGGGACATAAGCTTTCTGATAAGATACTTATTAGTCTTCCCCAACAGAGTTCAGTCCTACTTCATCCTGAATTCTTTGAAAGTTTGTGCTACATTAAAGATCAGCAAGTTAGAAATTGTGACTTGAACTTTCTGTAGTCATAGAAAATAGCAGCACAAAACTAGACTAACTCAGAGATATTGGCCAAAGGATACAAAATTTCAATTAGATAGGAGGAATAAGTTCAAGATCTACTCTACTACATGGTGACTAGAGTTAATAACAACACAGTGTATTGTATTGTTGAAAAATGCTAAGAGAGTGAATGGTAAATGTTCTCACCAATTTGGTCATCAAAATGCTTTTTATTAATAAGGAGACACTGACTGTGGTTGGAGGGAATATTTACCATGTTCAAGTTCCTCACAAAGATTGGAAAAACAAATGAAGTGATTCAGTGTCTAGCACAGTACCAGCCATTTAGGAGGCTCTCAATATGCGCTATTGAATGTGAATTAATTATAGAATGTCAGTGTCTTAATTACCTCAAATGAAAAACAGCTCAAGATAGAACACATTATTTAAAAGAAACCTACCTTTATCAGTGGATTAAAACAGGTTCTTTTTGCAACTTCAGAAACTAAGCAAAGAGATTCACATTAAACAAATAAGTACACGTTTCATTTAATTTTTATTGAGCTTATTCTTACATTTTTATGTTGTTTGTTATTTGCTTAAATATTCCATCCTTAAAATGGGTGCTGAAATAATAATGCCATGTCATAATGAGTGTTGGACAAGTAGTTATTTGAGTCTCAGGATTGGAAAGCCACCTTGAAGTGGCAGCAGAATCTTAGATTGAGGTCATCGCCCAGCTTATTTGATAGGAGCTACAGTCCAGTGACCCTGAAGAAATATGCTGGACCCTGTATTATTGGAACTGGAAAGAAATAATGAGATGATAAAGGGGAAGTACCCTAAGAAAAAGAAATTTATATTGAGAAAAAAATAATTTATCCAAGGGTGAAATTGAAGTGTACTTTTGGAGACCCTGCTAATTTGTCATTTCTTTTTAATTGGTGTGAAATGTGTATGATACATATATACCACAGTGATTGCCTGAATGTTTCATAGGCTGGATCTGCTATTCAAGTTCAACTCTAGAGCATGTATCAACTGTAGCTGGATGTTATCTTTTTCTACTGTCTAGAAAATAATATTCAAAGAAAGAAATTCTGCAACATGAAAAGTTACACTAGATTAAAAATACATATTATTGTGATCTTCAGTGTGTTTAATTTTTTGACTTATTAGTTGATTAGAACTGATCTCCACTTTCATTTTTATAAGACAATGGCCCTTGCATTTGAAGGCTGAATGCTTCATTTTATTTCATTTCAATAAATATTGCTGAGCGCACTTATTAGAATCTGTGTAGACTAAAAGGACAAGTGAGATATAAACTCTTTACTGCAAGAGCTTACAATTTAGTGGGACTAAAAATCAAAAGATGTCACAAGGTTGCACAGGTGGAAGATATTATATTTACCTGGTGACCAGACAGTGCTTAAAGGGAGCAGCTGAATTTAAAGTGCACCTTGAAAGAGACCATGTGTTTAACAAGTCAAATGGAGGAAGAGAGAGGCATTGGAAGGTCAAGGCCAAAGTATTTTAGTAAGCACAAGACTTAAGAGTTTAAGTGGTTCTGATTTGGAGGGTATGCTGAAATACAATACAGAGTTTCAAACTTACTTTGAAAATCTGAAGAATGTCATTTATAGGTTTTAGGTTTTATTTATTTTTTTAACTTTCTTTTTATTTTAAAATAATTGTGGACTCAGGAAGTACACAGTACAAAGACTCTCATGTACTCATCACCCAACTTCCCCCAATGATGACAACTTATATAGTTATAGCACAATATCAAAACCAGAACATTGACATTACTATTATCTAGAATGCAGACTTTATTCAGTTTTCACCATTTTTAAAAAACCTGCACTCATTTGTGTATGTGTGCATGTTTTTGTGATAGTATTTTTACTCTTTAATCAGCAGAATTATGTAATCGGAGGTAGGATTTAAGATTATTTGGCAATAGTGAACAGGCAAAACTGGAAGTAGGAAGACTAAATGAAAAATTCTTGCAGTAGTACAGAAGAGGAACAATGACAACCTGGGATGGATGGTGCCCAGCACAGCACTGGACACTGCAAAAGTACCTAGTGAGTGAGTAAGGATTTCTGTTTTCAAACTGCATGTTTTTCAAATGTAAAGGCATGTTTTTCAAATGTAAAGGAAAAAAGACTATCCATTTTCAGTTTCACAATGTGTGTACACTGGCAGGAGTTAAAAGAATAAGACATAGTCAGAACCCAGTGAAATTCTCAGTTCAGCTCACTGAACTACATACTGCAGAAGCCCAATAGAAGCAGGACAATTCTCAATTTGAATGAGGTAAGCTGCACAGGTCAGAGAAAGGTCAGATTCACACTCCAGGGCATGCACCGGCAATTAGAGCACTACTGGGAGAAAAGTGAAAAGGCATCTGCTTCTTGCCCTAACTGCTAGTAGACCGGTTATTATTGTTTCTACTCAGCTCGCTCATTGCTAGTTGAAATATCAAAAACAAAAATTTGTGATCTCCCATTCACAGTCGCTTCAAAGAGAATAAAATACCTAGGAATCCAACTTACAAGGGACGTGAAGGACCTCTTCAAGGAGAACTACAAACCACTGCTCAATGAAATAAAACAGGATACAAACAAATGGAAGAACATTCCATGCTCATGGGTAGGAAGAATCAATATCATGAAAATGGCCATACTGCCCAAGGTAATTTATAGATTCAATGCCATCCCCATCAAGCTACCAATGACTTTCTTCACAGAATTGGAAAAAACTACTTTAAAGTTCATATGGAACCAAAAAAGAGCCCGCATCGCCAAGTCAATCCTAAGCCAAAAGATCAAAGCTAGAGGCATCATGCTACCTGACTTCAAACTATACTACAAGGCTACAGTAACCAAAACAGCATGCTACTGGTACCAAAACAGAGATATAGATCAATGGAACAGAACAGAGCCCTCAGAAATAATGCCGCATATCTACAACTATCTGATCTTTGACAAACCTGAGAAAAACGAGCAATGGGGAAAGGATTCCCTATTTAATAAATGGTGCTGGGAAAACTGGCTGGCCATACGTAAAAAGCTGAAACTGGATCCCTTCCTTATACCTTATACAAAAATTGATTCAAGATGGATTAAAGACTTAAACGTTCAACCTAAAACCATAAAAACCCTAGAAGAAAACCTAGGCATTACCATTCAAGACATAGGCATGGGCAAGGATTTCATGTCTAAAACACCAAAAGCAATGGCAACAAAAGCCAAAATTGACAAATGGGATCTACTTAAACTAAAGAGCTTCTGCACAGCAAAAGAAACTAACATCCTAGTGAACAGGCAACCTACAGAATGGGAGAAAATTTTTGCAACCTACTCATCTGACAAAGGGCTAATATCCAGAATCTACAATGAACTCAAACAAATTTACAAGAAAAAAACAAACAACCCCATCAAAAAGTGGGTGAAGGACATGAACAGACACTTCTCAAAAGAAGACATTTATGCAGCCAAAAAACACATGAAAAAATGCTCACCATTACTGGCCATCAGAGAAATGCAAATCAGAACCACAATGGATACTATCTCACACCAGTTAGAATGGCAATCATTAAAAAGTCAGGAAACAACAGGTGCTGGAGAGGATGTGGAGAAATAGGAACACTTTTACACTGTTGGTGGGACTGTAAACTAGTTCAACCATTGTGGAAGTCAGTGTGGCGATTCCTCAGGGATCTAGAACTAGAAATACCATTTGACCCAGCCATCCCATTACTGGGTATATACCCAAAGGACTCTAAATCATGCTGCTATAAAGACACATGCACACGTATGTGTATCGCGGCACTATTCACAATAGCAAAGACTTGGAACCAACCCAAATGCCCAACAATGATAGACTGGATTAAGGAAATGTGGCACATATACACCATGGAATACTATGCAGCCATAAAAAATGATGAGTTCATGTCCTTTGTAGGGACATGGATGAAATTGGAAATCGTCATTCTCAGTAAACTATCACAAGAACAAAAAACCAAACACCGCATATTCTCACTCATAGGTGGGAATTGAACAATGAGAACACATGGACACAGGAAGGGGAACATCACACTCTGGGGACTGTTGTGGGGTGGGGGGAGGGGGGAGGGATAGCTTTAGGAGATATACCTAATGCTAAATGACGAGTTAATGGGTGCAGCACACCAGCATGGCACATGTATACATATGTAACCTGCACATTGTGCACATGTACCCTAAAACTTAAAGTATAATAATAATAAAATAAAAAAAAGAAAACAAAAAATATTTGCTTTTTAAATTCAAAACCTTTCAAAAAAAATTTCAATATCCTGGGAGAAATTTCAGAATTTTGTTGTTGTTGTTTTTGTTGTGTGTGTGTGTATTTTTGTGTGTGTATGGATACGGAGTCTCGCTCTGTTGCCCAGGCTGGAGTGCAGTGGTACTATCTCGGCTCACTGCAACCTCTGCCTCCCGGGTTCATGCCATTCTCCTGCCTCAGCCTCCTGAGTAGTTGGGACTACAGGCGCCCACCAACACTCCTGACTAATTTTTTTGTATTTTTTGTAGAGATGGGGTTTCACCATGTTGGCCAGGATGGTCTTGATCTCTTCACCTCGTGATCTGCCCACCTCGGCCTCCCAAAGTGCTGGGGTCACAGGAGTGAGCCACTGCACCTGGTCTTTTTTTAAGTATTTTTAAAATTAAATAAATGTTAAGAAAATTTTCTAAGACAGCAGTTCTCTTTTATTCAATATAATGATTGCATAATTTTATTCCCTGTATGTCTCAGAATCTCTTATAAAGGTCAATATTTGCTGGGTAGACAAACTCACAGTTGCAGAACTTTGATATGTGATTTGCTAGCTGAGGGATTATGAGCAAGGTTTTTAAACATTTTCTAAAACTTGATAACCTCATCAGTTATATAAGAGAGTGTTGGAGTCAACGGGCCCCTTCCTTTCTGACACTCTCAAAATAAATCTCCTTAATTCCCACATACCTTTTTATCACTGTTCCTCTTTTTTACTTAGCATTAGGACAGTGACTGTCACGCAGTAAGTATTCAGTGAAGGTTTTCTGAATGAACTTTTTGTAAAATTTTAATTCTAAACGCTTTCAAGGATTTTAAGTAGTTTTTAGATCTTAATACAGTAAAATTGTTTCAGCAAAAAAGCTTGCAACTTTGCCTTTTATCCTTTACGTTTTATGTGTTGTAAAAATATGTAAGTCACTTAGTCTCTTTTGGACTCAGTGCTTTATCTGCAAATATGGGAACTGTGCTTCTAAAATTGCTTCTGTTTTTTAAAAAATGAAAAACATTAATTGGTAGAAAAATTATGCACATCTCATTTAGCAGTATTTCAGATCGAATTCCTCATAGCTTCTTAATTATATAAGCTGCAAATTTGTTTTTTATAAAATTTTTAAAATAATATATTTAAACTAAATTTGTAAGCATTTAATCAAATTAATTCTACTAAATGTAAACGTAATGAACCAAAAATAAGAGCTAACATTTAGTGAGCCTAATAAGTTACAAGCATTGAGATATCATTATTATGCCAATTTTACAGAATAGAAATCAAAGACCATAAAGGTTAAATAACCTACCCAAGGTGATATATCCAATAAAAGAGGCAGTCAGGATTTGAACATGGGTAGCTGGGTTCCAGGGCTGTGTGTTTAACCAACACTTTATGCAGTGTGTCACTCTGCATCACTTCCAAGATAGAGAAAAAGCCCTGAACCATATATTTTGAGCTAGGGAGTAGGACAATGTTTAAACATTGAACATGATGTTGTCTGAAATTGTATTGACAAAATCTCTAATGACTGCCTGTAGAATCTCTGCCATGTGCTCTAAATGCAGTTTGCACTTGGTGACAGTCCAACCATGGGATGTAGATAATCACAAGTCTCTTTTCAATAGATACAAAATGTTTCACATGGTATATGATCCATATATATATTTGCAATTTAGGAAGGTAGATTTCTGCAGAGAGGGAAATAGTTTATATATGAACAAGTCTTCTAGAAAATATGGGCATAAATTTCATAATTTTTCAGATATTGTCTGTCTTCACAACAAAATTATGTAAAATGAACAGATCAAATTTCATTTATGCTATTGAGTCATTATAAGATTTTGTATAAACAAGTCAGTCCTCAGATATTAGTATGAAAAATCCCAGTTTTTATTTAATAAAGCAATTCTGCTTTGGGGTCTCTTTAGCTCTCATTTTTTTCCTCTCTCCTCAAATAATAATTATACTGTATTGACAACTTTATTCTTATTATGTGTAGTTATACAATACAGAATAAATGCCTTGCATTTTAATTTTAAGCACTTGAAATGTCCCACTTCAACAGATAGTTTAATAGGAAAACAAAAACTATTTTAAAAAGCATTTGAGTGAATAAAACAAAGCAAAATAAGTATCATTACACTCAGACCTTTTCCTCCCTAGAACATTAGCTCCCAGATGCCTTACATAGATAAATGATTACTTAGGTCCTTAGTAGGTGTTACACCAAAAAGTTTGAGAGACTAGTTAAATAGGGTTGAGCAGATTTCTCTGTTACAGAACTTCTTACTCTCTTTAACCTCTAATGTATTTAATTAAATACTTTTAAAACCTAATCTGAGCATTACTGAACATTTCATGGGGATAATATTTCATGAAACTCTGTGAATATTTACATCAATAGTCTTTAATGGAAGCTAGACATTAGACTCACCTAGCGAGTATTTGAAGCATATCCCTGACAAGAGCAATCCAATCTGCATCTTTGGAGGGTGGCATCCTGCAGTAGCAGGAAGCTAATGGCTTCCCAAAGATGCTTATGTTCTAATTCCTGAAACCTGTGACTATGTTACATGGCAAAGGGGAATTAAGGTTACTAATCAGCTGGTCTTAAAATCGAGAGATTATTTTGAGATATCCACATGGGCCCAATATAATGACAAAAGTCTTTAAATGTAGCAGAGGAAGCAGAAGAGTCAGTGCCAGAGTGATGCATGTGAGAAAGACTCCACCAGCCATTGCTGGCTTTGAAGCTGTAAGAAGAGGCCACCAGCCAAGGAATACAGGTGGCATCTGGAAGCTGCAGAGGCAAGAGAATGGATTCTCCCCCAGGACCTCTGCAAAGGAACACAGCCCTGCTGACATCTTGATATTGGTCCAGGAGACTCATTTTGGACTTCTGAGCTCCAGAGCTGTAAAATAATAAATGTGTTGTTTTGAGCTACCAGATTTGTGGTAATTCGTTACAGTGAAAATAGGAAATGAATACAGGGCCCAAGCATTAGTTATTTTTAAGAGGTACCAGGTAATTCTAATAAGCAGCCAGATTGAGAACCTCTAATTCTGATGAATGGCTGCTCATTAGAATCCCCTAAGACATTTTTGATATCATATCTTCCATCTATCACCAGGGATCCAAATTCACTTTCAAAGTATCAACTTATTTAATCCCCATAACAACCTTATAAGATAGAAATCATTATGAGAAGCACAATTTTTTAAAGAAAGTTGTCCAACATTATCCAGCTACTAAGTGATAAGCTTTAAACCTGCACAGGCTGTCTCCTACTACCACAATCATGTTGGCTTAAATGCTTGTGTAGGGTCTGTTTAGTTCCATTTGAAAATATCATTACAATTACTGGTTATTTTCTGAGTTCCTTTTTCACAAGAAAAGCAGGAAATTAGAAATGAAAGGTGCCAGTAGAAATAAAAACATTGATGGTAGTATGCTTGTGATTGGGAAACTGATTCTGAGGGATAAGAATTGAAAATATAAAGTCCTTCCACGTTCAAAAATCATGGAAATCTGAGGTCTTCATAGGAGTTGTAAATATTACCAAATGCAGCAATATTTAGTGCTATTGGGAGTACTATTGTATTTGAGTAGAGTTGAATTAATCTTAATAATTCTGACTTACCAAGAAAAATTCGTTTTTGTTTTGTATACTTCACTCATGAGAGGAGGTATATATTTATAACTCTTAATAGTAATTTATATAAGTAAAAATGCTTCTGAGAGAAAGAAGCATCAATTGTCTGAGTATTTTAACAGGTGGGCCATGAATTTTCAAAATAATTCTATAAAATATATTATGGTATATGCATATGTTATGTTCCATATGGAAAATCTGCCTGTTTGCATATCAGCCCTATTCAATTTTCTCTTATAAATGAAAGGCCATTCCAAACCAACTGAAATGTCAACACTCTTTGACATTTTGGCGACATACTTAGCAGAGGTACAAAGACGCCAAAACACATCTATAAAATCCAGTAGAAGGTTTATTTATGAAACATTCAGATTTTAAGAGTTAGGAAGACAAAGATAAACAGCAGAACCAAATTCCCTTGTGTTCAAGTACTTGCCATTTTGTTCATCCACATTAAAGACTATAATCCTAGTATATGTTAAATCTTTCAAATTTCCAGCCTTCCATTCCTTTGGGTTTTGTAATGAAAAGAGCACTGAACTAAAGACAAAACATTAGCTAGTTGTGTGACACTGAGTATAAACCATAAAACTACAGCAATTTCTCCTGATCTATCAAATGCACATTGCACCTGCTTTTTCTACCCCATAGGATTATGAAAAATCAAATGATAACGTTTGGGAAAGTTTTTTGAAAATAGTAAAGCACCATGTAAATAATGATTCCATGTAATAATATGGATTCCAGGAGTTACCTATCCCTGCATAACAAACTACCCCAAGATTTAGTTGCTTAAAACAATTCATTTAAATTTTCTTAGGTCAGCAATTTGAGCATAGTTTAACTAAGTCCTTTGCTTCAGAGTCTCTCACAGGCTGCAATCAATGTGTCTCCTGTGGCTATCATAATCTCAACACTCAACTGGAGAAAGGTCTGCTTCCAAGATTACTCACATTGTTCTTGGCAGGATCAGTTCCTCGCTGGTTGTTGGAATACAAGCCTCAGTTTCTTACTTGCTGTTGACTGAAGGCAGTCTTCAGTTCCTTGGCACATGGCCTTTCCAGCATGGTAGTTTGCTTACTTCATCAAGGTTTGCAAGCCAAGACGGCAATAGAAAGAACACAGCAAGATAGAAGTCATTCTTTTGTAATCTAATCATGGAAATAACATCTCATCTCTTTTGCCTTATTCTGTTCATTAGAGGCAAGTTACTTGGGTGGGGGGTCATCCCACACTGAATGGGAGGTGACAACACACTAGTGTAAATATTAGGAAGTGGGGATCATTGCGGGTCATCTTGAAAGCCGCCTAACACGTGGATCATTCCCTACACCCTAAACATATCCTGGACTTAACTCCCTCTCAGTTATCTCAGGATTTCCTTCTTTCTATAAATCCACTCCCAATCTCAGCTCAACCTTCAACACACAATTCAGTTAAGATCTCCTTTTGTGAATTTTATTATGAATCCTTCAGTTAGATGGGATTGTCCCAATGTCTAAGTTCCCCAAACATTTGGCACACATCTTAGGTCATATGTCATCTCCTGCTTTTTGTTATAGTATTCATAGCCTTCAGATGTATTCATTGATCGGGGCCTGGAAGTTCAGAATGGGGTCTTACACCTCTTCATATTCTCCCACGGTATGAAGGACAATATAAACTACAAAATGAGCAATCTACACAGTTATTGAATTGAATTGAGACAGTTTTTCATGCAAATGCTAAAATATAATAATCTCTTTTCTGCTAAAGGGCTTACTTGAAGACACTAAAAATGAATCAATAATTTCAGTTTTGTAATAGTCTTATTTTAGGGATTCCTGCCAGTTTTTTGTTTTTCAAGGGATGTCTACAGTCTGCTCTTCTAAGGGCTTTATTCATCAAGAGGGTGAACCTGCAGAAAATAGTGGAACCATTTGACCTCAACAGTAAGGTACCAGATTTTTGGATGCCTATGCTTGATAAGTGCGTGCTTTTGTTTCAGGAGGTTTTTGAGGCCACACCCTTCCTGTTATTAAAATTTTCTACAACAGGCTTAATTTTAAGGCAAATTTTCCCTTGAGTATAGTCTTATTGAGAAATCTCTCATTTATATTAACTTATTAAAAAGACCCTATTATATGACTGATTATTTTTCAGCCATACAGTGTTTGTGTGTAAATAGACCTATACTCCCATGAAATCACTTAGATAAGAGCCTGGGTATAAAGAGTGACTGGGGACCTATAAAATTAAATTTGCATAGTAGAACCTGAGCCAAGAATTCTACTTCTTTGGGGTATTTATTTTTATAAGGTTGGGCCCAACGTTCTTAGTATTAGAGTATCTTAGAAACTTATAGAAGATTCATTCATTTCAGTGCAAGAGATTTCAAAGGTTCCACTGGCTTTTACTCAAGAACACTTACATGGTTGATAATGTGTTGAAATTGGCCCCTAGGGGTTTTGGTTTAAACTCAATCTACTTTTAGTTCCCTTTACGAAACTTAATCCAAAAAAGGCTTGGGGAGAGCATTTTTCAGAACAGCTCACTATTAAGTTCTTTACAAACCCCCCATCCCTACTTTCTACTCATCATTGCCATTTATTCTGAGGAGAATTTCAGAGGTCTGGACTAAATTTGGCTTTTCCTCAGGGCTCCTTCCCATCAGTATTCCCTGTATAGGAAATGGCTAATGTTCAAAGTTAAATTTTTTGGCTAAGTAAATGGAACTTAATCCATTTGTTCAGTGGTCCATGTGCTTCAAAATATCATGGGGCTTAATTCGATGTGCTGAGAGCCAAGTCACAGGGAACAGTTAGTTCACTGCATTTTATGCCTCAGTGTGAGGGAGGTGGGAATTGTGAATTTTTGGAAAAATAAAATTGGGCAAAAAATGGGGAGATATGGTTGGAACTTGAAAACTACCTCATTGATATTTTTTATCATCTCATTGGGTAACTTACTATTCTTTCATTCATTTGACAAATAATTTTTTGAGCATTGCTATGAGTCTAGAATTGTTTTAGGCAATAGGAACAAGCTGTGAACCAAAAGAAATGTTCCTGCTCTCATGGGTCTCACATTTAGCCAGGGAAAAAGATAATGAATAAATAATCAAGTAGGCATACATTATGCCAGCTGGTGATAAGTGCTAAGAAAAGAAATATTGTAAAGCAGCATAGAGTAACAGCTGGAGGTAGGGTGTGTGCTAGTGTAGATTAGACAGCATTTGAGCAGTGACCTGAAGAAAATGAATAAGTTCATATGAGTATTTGGGTAGGGGAAAGTCCTGAAGGGAGCAGAAAGTACTTAGACACTCAGGTGTAAACAATTTTTGTGTTGAAAGAACATTAAGGAGGCTAAGGTGGGATACAGGGAGAAGAGTGAGAAATGAAACCCAATAGGTTGGGGTGTGTGTGAATCATATTGAGACTAGTAGGCCATTATGAGGACTTTGAATTAGATCCAAATAAAATTAGTAGATGATCAGAGGATTGTAAGCAAAGAGGTAATCTGTCCTATATTTTAAAAGGATCAATCTGCCTGCCATATAGAGACTTCCAGAGAGTAGGGATGGACACAGGGTGCTACAGGTGAGGTGTCGGTGACAACCCCAAGACCACAATTGGAATGGTGAAGTTGTTATTAATATAGATTATAAGACTGTGGGAGAAACAAGTTATGGGGAAGATTGGAGGCCTCAGTTTTATACATTTTAACGATGATGTATTATTATATAAACTGAAGATTATTTACTATGTAAAGTGAAGATTTATAATTGAATATATGAGTCTAAAGGTCAGGAGAGAGGTTCAGGCTAAAAGAATAAATATGGGCATCCTAAGTATTTAGATCATTTAGAATCAAGGGACTGGTTGAAATCACTGAAGAAGCAAGTCTATAAATGAAAATGAAGTCTAAGGCTTGAGCTCTGGGGCATGTTAACATTTAGAGATAAGGTAGTTATGGAAGGCCCCATGAAATAGGGGAAATGAGACAATGTATAAAAGATTTATTGAAACCCTAATATACACAAGACACTGTGATAGGTCTGTGATTCAATGGTGAATAAAACTGTTTCTGCCCCTGAGGATTTCATAGTTTACTGGTGCTTTAATGGAGTTATTTATATAGAGAATTATATAGTATGTGCTCTAGGCTCAGGGAAGACAAAACTGCTATCTCTGCCTCGATATAAAAAATACTTTAGAGAAGAGGTGATATTTGAATGGATGAGAAACATGAGAGTGAGTTTTCCATGTAGAGCAGGTAGTGAAAAGCATTCTAGGTGCAAGAGATTGCTTGTACAAAATTGTAGAATTGGAACACATGAAATGCTGGTGGAAATGCAAGGAAGCAATGTCATTGTAGGATAAACAGACATGTGGAGTTGGAGTCACAGTGAATGGCATCTGTCACCTAGTGGCTGTGAAATTACCTTAGTTATCTTTCTTCTTATTTGGTTTCTTATTTATAAATCATAGTAACAATATCTAATAAGCACAGAAGAGAAAAAAAGTAAAAAATATTGGGTTTTTGTGTTTGTTATGTGTCATCCATTAAGCAAAGTACCTTAATATACACTACCAGTTAATCCTCACAATCTCATGAAGTAGGCAGCGTTATGCCCATTTTACATCTAAGGAAAGAGATTCATAGAGAGGCTGAATAATTTACTCAAATTTTTCCAGGTAGTTAGTCGAGGGGAGTCCTGAGTGTGGGGATTGTGAAGAAAGCCAGCATTCAAAACTAAGTTACCTGACTCTAAACAGCAGGCAGGAAGACGTGATGGCTATTTACTAACACTGAAGTTCAAGTTAGAGTAGTCAAAGTGAGTTTGTAGAGAACGGAATGGCTTTGGTGAAGTACAGACTGACCCAAAAAATTTCAGCTGAGGGGTTGCCAGAATAAAACTTTCCTAGCTTGAACAGATTGGATACATGGTGTTTTCATTCCCTGAAACAAAAGAAAACAAAACAAAACAAACACTGGGAGGAGCAATGAAGGACGTGGCAATTTAGTAAACCTTAGTGACTCAAGATGGCTTATTTATATCAGTTGGATCAGTGGAGTCCTTTGCCTATTAGCTCCATAAAATCTGGTCTCCGGACTCCTGGAACTTTGATTAAGACTATAAAATACAGAACGCATTTTTTCTTCAATTTACTTACAACCAAAAGGAGTCAGCCCCTGGAATTTATTTAAAACTTTGAAATCTCTCAGCATTAGTTTTTAAAGCAGTCCTTTCCCCTTATCCCTCCAAAATAGAAGCTGTTCCTAAAGATAGTTCTTTACTAGCAAAGGAGGACGCAAAATTTAAATTCTGGGGATTAGCAGGATGCAAGAAAAGATAAGCCTTTAGAAATGAGGTGATTACAATAATTAAAATAAAAAGGTAATTTAAAGTTTCTGATGCTTGAAGCTGGAAATCTTTGTACAAAGCTGAAATTTTCATACTCAGACCTCTCTTCTGAATTCCGTATCTAAATATCTTTCTATTGAGAACTTCAGTGTGAATAGTCCCCAGGTAACTTGAATGTCTCAGAGGCACCTTAAACTTAACATGTTGAAAACTGAAATTATTATAGTTTTTATTAGATCTCTCTTTTTCTTTCTGAAAGCCAAGTCTCAATGAAAGGTATAAACTGCTAGGCAGTTAAAACACTCAAATTGTTATTTGCCTCCTCCATTTCCTTTAACTCCTTCATTCTTCAGTTTCAATCATCCATTAAGTCCTGGCTTCCATTTTCCTGGTGCAGGCTCAGCTTTCCCAGTTTATCCGGAGCAGGATGAATCCCTGCTTTCAACGACCACTTTGGACTGCCTGTCATATGAAGCATTTATGAGCATAGTATGAAGACTACATGATGTATGTACAGTGGATCTCTACATACATTTTTTTGTACTTTACTCATGAGAAGAGGTGTTGCCGTTTGAAGATAAATAGGTTGGCTGTAAATCCAGTTTTTTTAAAAAATATAAATAGGTTGGCTATAAATCCACAGATTTCTTTGTTCTTCCTATAATCCTCTACATGGGATGAAATCGAGGTGATCATTAAGGCTAATTGGGAAAAAATTGAACGAGGGCTTTTAGAGAGACTTTCCATAATACTTCTAGGCTATCCAGGGTTTCTGAGAGGCAAAGTGATCTGTATTAAAAGTGATATATTGAAATATTGTTATTTGGCTTTCCATGTTTAATTTATTATTATTCCTAGCAGTAATACTTGCTGTAGACTCAGTAGAGAGGCCAGAATCATGTAGTTAAAGGCTTGAATTGTTCTTACTCCAAGGGAAGTAAATGGTCTTTTTGAATTTTACAGGAAGAGCAGTGTATTCCATATAATATGAGAGGGAAAATCCAGTGCATCCAAGGATGCCTTATGTGCATGTTCTTTTGTTTAAAATTTGTAAAGTATTGTTCTATTAATTAATCAAATAGGTTGAATGGAGAGGGAGGGAAGGAGGGAGGGAGGGAGGGAGAGAGAGAAAGAGAGAAAAAGAAAGAGAGAGGAGATGTCTCTGGTCTCTGTGCTTGGAGTTTGGAGAAATAAGTAGCCTGCCACAAATAATTGAAATTCCTGAGACTGGAATATGAGTGTGGAGGGGTTGACACATTCTGAGATTTTTGAGAATTGGTCTTTGAGTAAATGAATTATCCCTGGAATGACAGTTTCCATGGTGATTGCTGTGAGGATCTCTGAGGGGAGACTGTGTGTTGAGAACTGTAATTCAGAGAACTTTGAAAAAGTCTCATTGCTTGATCTGGAATTGACTGGGGAAATGCAGAGCCAGCTATCTTGTTGTGTTCCTGATGCCTGGGTAAAGGCCAGTGGCCCCAGTGACCAACATGAAGGAGCACGGAGAAGACAGAGCTTCATTTTTATGAACTGTGTATGCTTCACTGTTCTTGTCTGATCAATAGTAGGAAGTGAGACTTGAAAATGAATGGATGTTGGCCTGGTCAACTAAGATGATTGGCAGCTAAAATCTGGTTTTGATTTTACTGAAAAGAAACATGAGCTATTTGGTATTCTTAATGTTGTGGAGCAATTCATACTTATCCATAAGAAAATTCATAGTGATCAATAGTTCAGCTGAAATCAAATGTCTAGAAAAATAAATGGCTCATTTTAAATGTTGATGAGGTACTTAAAAACATGAGCTCCTGAGATCTGGGTAGCACTAATTTGTTTTATAGCCCCAGGAACAATGAATTCAAGCTTTTTGATGCCGGAAAACAATTAACCCTGGATATTGTCTAGGCATCATTATTTGTGTACCTCTGTAAATCAGTGCCGTCAATGCAGATGAATTGGTTTTTTTACTTTATGCTCATGGCTGGAAATTCCAAGTGCTATTTCTTAAGATATCTCTTTCCAACAGGAATTAATAGAATAGAAAAGCAATGACCAGTTTTTCCTCATCCTAGAAATGAAGCTATCTTTTCAGTTCAGTTACACAAATATATATTATGAGCCTACTATGCACATTCAATTTCCTGGCAGTGGAGTCTGTTGTAAAGATCATAGATTTAAAATTTATAGGGTCTGGTTTTATAATCTGTGCTCAATTATTTGCCAGATCAGTATCTACCAGAAAGTCATTTAACTTCACTTTCGACATTTACATTGTTATAGCAGTAATGCCTGTCTCACGGTGATATGACAAACAAGGTAATATTTGAAAAATCTTTTTATCAAGGGCTCTTTGTTGTTATCATGTAGAAGACTTTCTGTTCTGTTTTCAGAGTGTAATTTTGCTTATTTGTTCAGTCTATAAAATGAGGCAAAATTATCTCTCTTCCCAGTCTCTATAATTCTGTGATTCTTCCAAAAGAAGAGACTTTCAAAATTCACAAAATAGGTATTTTGGAGAACAGTTTATTGAGGCAATATAGTACTTTCAGTAAAAATATAATTAAGTTAAACCTATTGCATATGGGGTTTATACTGATAATTTAAAGAAAATAAACAATTATTGTAAAGGAGATATTAACAAGTAAATAATTCGTTTAAAATCATAAAACAAATCACAAGTAAAGACACAATAGAATTGGTTATATTGTATCCTCCATAAATTAGGAATCTTATTTATATTTTCTCAAAACAGTAAGCATTTGATAAATCATATTGAATTAAAAGAATCCTCAATTTTCAACTTCTTTTTTTAAACCAGTGGTTCTCAAACATAACCTTTAGTGTGATTCAGCATCACCTGTAGGGTTTGTTAAAGTACATGTTGCTGGGCCCCACTTCCAGAATTTCTGATTCAGCAGATCTGGAGTGTTCTAAAAATTTGCATTTATAACAAGCTCTCAGGTGATGCTGACACTGCTGTTCTGAGGACCACACTTTGAGAACCAATCTTTGTTCTCACATTTTGAGAACCAAACACCACTTTAATTACTGGTCTAAAATGCAATATGTAGGAACCACTTGGACAACTTTTGAAAGACACAGATTCCTGAACTAACTTTCAGAGATTCTGCTTCTGTAGGTACTGGCTGGGGCCAAGGTATCTGTGTGCTTTGAAAGCTCCCAGGACTTACTAAGAAGCCAGGTTTGGAAATTACTTCTCTACGTAAAGCTAAAGGTCTGTTTTGTTCATACATACTACGCCACATAGGCTTTTCCTAGGATTGAAATTCAGAATAAAGTTAACAATAAAACATGATAAAACAGCTCCCTGATGTAATGAAAGAAAGCAACAAATAAAGCTACTTCTTATCTAGGAAAATATTGGCTTACTTGATTTCCATTAAATTTCCATTAAATTTAAGACAACTTGACATTTTTATTTAATGTATATTCCCTTCCAAAGAATGATAACATTGTTTTGAGTTTTATACGTCCTTAAAAGCAAGTGGAAGCTGATACGCTAAGATTTCACATATATATTATAATATACATGATACCTTATAAATGTGATTCTGTTATTTATCTCTTTTTAAACTTATTAAGCAAAAGCATCACAGAAAGTATTTGGTTCATTCTAAATTTATCACAGTTATCTGAAAAATAGTCATCTAAGGCATGAGAAATGAGGCAGGTGAACTCTCACATAAGAACATTTTGATGACAGATTGTATTGAGCCACTCGCTAAAGAGTACCATACTTAATCATGTATCTTGGCCTTCTAAACGTTTGCTGTTTATTTCTCCATATCAAATGTTCCATCTGCATGCAAAGATGATATTATTTCATAACCAGTAGTTTTGCAAACTCCACATGGCAACCTCTAGCATCAAATTTTATCTTCTATAGTTTATCTATGGACAATAAAATTCTAAACCAGGATTGTGTTGTAAGCTCAGCAAATATTGAAAAAAGAATCTAAGCTGGCTTTTACGTAATTCTTTTAGTTATGTAATACAGAAATGGGTGAATGTTTATTTTGGTCAATACAGTAAGCAGGTGTGGCTTGAAGATAGGCCAGGATGAGCTAAATTAAGTCAAAGTGGAATTTTTACATAATTGCTTTTCTGACCACCATGAAAATTTATATTGCATATTATGAGATTAAAGGTCTTGCACAAAGTGAAGATTTAGAATCTTATTTTCTAAGTAAAGTGTACACATTTTTTAGTTTTGTTCTTTATTTCACCACTCTGGCAGGATGAATCTTGAAATATTGTTTATAATTTGTTTAGATTTTCTTTTACAATCAACCTTAAAGATTTTTTTACAGCACTCCTCAAGATTCTACTCCTTGTACTACCAAGGATCTAAATTTCCCATATATTTAACATGAATGCATGTAAATCATATGAAAACATTGGGAACTCTGGTTTAGAAAGCCTAAGAAGGCCACATCTGGCAAATAGTATGTTTTTAAATAAGTGTTTGCTTCATTTTTCTATAAGAATAATTGTGCTAAATTCAGAATTAAACTCCTCTTCCAAAGGATCACATACATCACATATTTATATCATACATATCATACATCACATATTTATGGGCCAAAGACACAGTGTTAAGTGCTGGGGCTATCCAAAGATGTAAAGGCAAAACTCTTGCCCAGGAATTTTTCTTCTACAAGGTAAGCAGGGATTCACAAGGACAATCAGCTGGGAGAAATACCATGGGGCAAATAGACCAGGATTCAGTGCAGGCTTCATGGGGACACAATTCCCAAATTAAAGGATATAAGAATCTTCAGTCTAGCCAAGATAAATAAGAGAATTATGCACCCAGAGAAGAGACCATAAGAGAATACGGTGCATTTGAATAACCGCAAGTTGGACGGTGGACAGAGACCAGAATGTGAAGGCCTCACCTGTTTCGTATGTTAAAATAAGAGCGTTTATATTTATTTCAGTTAAAACCTGGATTATTTCTCTATTTACATGGTGGAAAGCGACTTGCCAAGCTTTTGCTGGCTGTTCCCAACTTCACCATTTTCTTTGTAGATGCAGAGTCTACCAAGTGTAAATGCTGCCAAGTCACGTGTGAGAAGGCAACCACTAGGTGGCAGAACTGTACCATATTCTGTGGTCGGGACCAAAAAGCTGATCTCTTGATACCATCATCCTCTTACTCAGAGCAGGTTGGCTTCAGAATGGTGGTAGAAATCTAGGATTGTTCCGAAGCTTTGTTGAAGAATAACCAGCAAATTAAAGGGAGGTCTTATGACTGCAGACCACCTGAACTCCAGCTCTGCAGTGTTTCACTCATCCCATGGACTTTTGTTATTGGATGAATGCAGCATGGAGATATATCTTAAATTATTTCTTTGATTGAAAACGTAATCAAGGCTCATATATGAACAAACATGCACCATATTTCAATATAATTACCTCATAACTAAGCGCAGTGCAAAAAAAACCAAAATGTCAATCTTTTTTTTTTTTTTTTTTTTTTGGAAAATTGTCCTCCTGTCAACGTAGAATAAATCCATTACCATATGGCCCACCAATGCAGCAGAAAACATGGGGTCTAATGGTGTTCTGTTGGCAAACTCTTGTAATTGATTTATTTTTCTAAGCTACCAACTGGCTTGTTACTGTGTGTGTTTTAGTTATACTCTCAGTAGACACATTTGACTGCTTTTTGTTGTTGTTTCTATTTTTAAAAGCCTGCAATCAAAGTTCCAGAATTCTACAGTATTTCCAGATCTGCAATTTAGAATGGAAAAGTGTTGTGAACAGGTTGATAACACTAAATACATCAAAGTTTCTCTTCAATATAATGTAAATGTATGTTTAAATTTATGCAGCCTCTATGTTTAGTCACAAAAGATCTGCATATTTTGATACTCTTTTAGATAATAGTACATTGATTAAATTAATTCATTATATCTGTTAATCAAATTATTAATTTGATTAATTGGGTCTAAGCATGTTCCCTTGGTGATATAATCATTATCTTAGCCTGGTTTTATATTAACTTCTCAATGTGAAGTAATTAATACCCTGAAGAGATAATATCCTCTTGCCCTAGGTAATATTCAAAATTGTTTTAGATCTAAAATATAGAAAATGTAGGACTCTTTTACAGGCATTTCCAGCATAGGAAGAGGATTAAGGGAATGACATTTTATTTTGTATGTCTGTATTGGATAAAGGTAAGAGACATTCAAGTATTTCTAAGTAAGGAATAAACTTACATGTTAATATTTTAAATTTAGATTTTAGTTTTTGGCCATAAAATCTGTAAAAACTGTATTTTAATTAGACTTTTATATATGGAGAGACTCAGTCTCTGTCCAAAGTAAGTTAATCTGTAGAAACTATTCAAAGTACACACACACACTTGTGCCCGTGCACACATGCACCCCACCTATTTTAAGTATAATAACCCCAATGTCTATGACCAACAAGCAAATAACAATGTAAACTTTCAAATTACACATTACTAAAAGAACTAGAATGAATCATTAAAATCTAAAACTGTTTATGTTACAAACTTATATTGATTCTATTTTGTTGCCTACTATAATGAGTTCTTGTTTTTCAGGGACTTGTTATCTTTTGCTGGAAATGCATAACTATGCAGGGCTAGGATTTCTCTCCTTTCAAAAAAGAAGTACTGAATGGGATTGCAGCACTCTGGGCTGTATTCTCTATGAACATATTCCTCTCCTCTCCTCTTCTCTCCTTGTTTCCTTCTTCTTTTCTTTTCTTTTTGGATTTCTATAATCAAGACAAAAATATTAAAGAACTGAAATGGGGAAAATGTGTTTCTCAAGCTCCCCCCACCGCTTATTATTTAAATAAAAAAATAGACATACTGAAAGCATTATAAACTATTCACAAGCAAACTAGGTATATACAACTTATTTTAATGAAGGCTATAGAAAAAAACGCTTTTTGTTAAAAAATGCAGCTTTCTGAAATCAGTTTTTATAGGCTGGGATTTTAGGCTTCTGGATAAAACTAAATTCTTTATGGTTTTAATAATAATATAATGCACTTCTATCTGAATATAAAATCTCCTTTTTTATCTCATTTATCACATATAAATTAAATTAACCTTTGACTATCCTAAGGAAGATAGAAACTTATTTGTACACATATCTGACACTAAAATAAAGTGAAATGCAATGCCAAGTCGCTTGTATTGGCTCCTCTTCTAATTTCCCATATTGCTTTAGGAAAAAAGAAAGCTATGTACTACACATTTATGTAACATAAAATCCGACTTAACCATGCATATTCCTCAGTTGTTCTGATATTACAATTCCGGATGGAAACCTTTGAATTTTAGCTTGCTAAATTGTGTAAATTATTCTCTATCCAGCATTCTCTGTTTTTTAGAGATAAGATATTACTCTTGTCATCCAGGCTGGAATGTAGTGGCATGATCATAGCTCACTGGAACCTCGAACTCTGGGCTCAAGTGATCCTCTTACCTCAGCTTACCAAGTAGTTAAGACTATAGTGTGCTTGCCCCTAAGCCCAAGTAATTATTATTATTATTATTATTATTATTATTATTATTATTATTATTATTTGTAGAGCTGTGCTCTTGCTATGTTGCTCAGGCTGTTCTCAAACTCCTGGGCTCAAGATATCCTCCCATCTCAGCTTCTCAAAGTACTGGCGTTATAGGTGTTAGCCACACTTCCTGGCCTCTATCCAGCATTTTTGATGATCATATCCCAGTTTGATATCCTTCTCCCTATATAATGTATAATGCATTCGTCTGGTGAGACCCTTATCCTATTTTTAAATGCCTCCAGTAAATACAAGTCTTCGATTCTCCCATGCTCAGCCAACAGCAGGTGCCATAGTTCTCAGCCACCTTTTCTTGTCACTGTAGTCAAACAATAGATTTAGGCTTAAAGAGTAAAACCAGAGTGTGGGATAGATAGAAAAAAAATTGTAAATATTAGTGTTCTAGAGGGGCTTATGTAAATTATTTTTTTCAGATTTCTACAATCAGAAATTCAATTTTGGATTTCTTCTTGCTTTCTGCTATGACAATGTCTATACTCTGTGCACACATGTATGCTTTGGGAAAGATAAAACATTTCACTATATGAAGTATCTAGCATTTTCAAGTATGGAAGGAATACCATCAAGAAGCCACCCACCCAGCTTTTAAAAATTATCAACTCAGGCCTCATCTATTTTCTAACACTCAGATAATTATAAAACAAATCTGTGGCACTTTAACATTTTATCTGTAAGCATTTTAGTGTATATCTCTAAAATATGTTTTAAATATAACTATTATATAATTAAAACACACCTAAAAATTGATAAGAACTAATATAAAATGTATAGTATTTGTTCAAAATTTTCTGATTGTCTCATAAATACGTTTTACAGTTTAATTAGGTATCAAAAAGGTCTATACATTTGGTTGTTTCTTAAATTTTTAAACATTATTTTACTTTATGAACTGACAAAATTGTATGGGTTTATCTTTTACAACATGTTTTGAAGTATATATACACAGTGGAATGACTAAATCTAGCTAATTAACATATATATGTTTCCCTCACGTAGTTTTAATTTTTGCAGTTAAGAACACCTTATGGCCGGTTGCAGTGGCTCACCCCTGTAATCTCAGCACTTTGGGAGGCCGAGGCAGGTGCATCACCAGGTCAGGAGATCGAGACCATCCTGGCTAACACAGTGAAACCCTGTCTCTACCAAAAATACAAAAAAATTAGCTGGGTGTGGTGGCGGGCGCCTGTAATCCCAGCTACTGGGGAGGCTGAGGCAAGAGAATGACGTGAACCCGGGAGGCGGAGCTTGCAGTGAGCGGAGATCAGGCCACTGCACTCCAGCCTGGGCAACAGAGCGAGACTCCGTCTCAAAAACAAACAAACAAACAAAACAAAACAACACTTTACATCCACTCTTAGCATTTTTCGAGACTATAACATAAATTTACTTGTTCAATAAACCTGTAAATGGACCTTTTGGAGTTTCTTCTAGCCTGCATTTTACTAATTATAATCCCCTTATGTCAATAACTGTGTTACCCTGACCCCGGTACTTCTTGTAAATTGATAGGTAGAGGCAGAAGCTAAATCAGAATTGGGTGTGAATATTTTCAGAATATCATTTTCCTGAAGGCATGTAATGCCTGCTTATACCATTTTGTGTAATTGTAACAATTATAAATGGTCATAGATTAGGTCTATTATTTTGGGGGAGAGGTGTTATAAAATTGACATATTTTAATTCTGTTATTTCTTTTCTATTCATTAGCTAAAATACTGCAATAAAGAGAAAATTTGCTTCCTATTTCTCAATGTGTGGTTCCCGCAATAAATAGATAAACTCTTGATAGATTTTCTTTAAAAAACTAATTTAAAAATAGCATCTACTAATGGTGTCCAAAGATTGTTTTTAACCATTCATATATTTCATGTTCATATATTTATATATTCATGTATTTCAATTCATATATTTAAAAATACTTGCTGTGTTTCAATACATAGTAGTTTTTACTTTTAATGAGATTCAATTTGTTCTACTCTTGCATAAGGAGAGTTCTTTATGTTGGCTCCTGGCTTGGTCCATTTACCATGACCTTAGTAGTCATTGCTATCTTCTTGCTTTCTGCTATGATAAATGTTTCCAGGGAAATTTTGTCCATGTCCTTTCTCAGACCTCAAATCAGTCCTGCCCTCAAGAAGACCAGTTGCTTTTGGTGGGAAATAGTATTTACAGATCATTGAAAATCACAATCTAGGTATTAAGAGTCATCGTTACTACTGGTTTGTCATTGTTTCTAGGCTTTTTCAGTGACCAGAGTTTAAAAATTTTTGTTTATTTTGTAAAGACTACCATTAATAATTTTATATTAACAATTACATTTCCATTTAGGCCTACAGAGTTTCATTTTACTTCACCAGTCTCACATCTCCATTTCCAATGCATAAAATCCTGGATTTCAAATACACCAACATAATTTCCCAAATTATTTATCCCACAATATACACTATGCAACAGTATAAGACAAAAATACTAACCACTGCCACCAAAAATATAGTTGGTGAAACTGTTTAAGAATTTTTTAAACACCTTCTCCTTTTTTGGCTTAGTGTATATCTTACTCAGAATGTATGAAATCACTGTTTTATAGTAACTTGGAATAGTTTCTCTGTTTTTGAGTATGTCATCAGCTTAATGCACAGTTAGGTTTATTCATTTCATTGCAAATACAAATTTTTGAGATCATTTTTCTGTTTGTTTTTGTTTTATAATTGTGTAAAATATCTACAGAATTCCAAAGTGTGGCCTATAAAACCATGTGTACCAAGAGAAGCCTAGTGTTTCTTACTGTCTACTGTATCCTATTTCTTCCCTCATTTTTAATTTTAAAAAGTGACTTAAACTTCAATTGTAGTCAAATATATATATACATATATACATATATTCATATATATACATATATACATATATACACACACACATACATTTGTTTTGCCCTTAGATATCCACTTTTTCATGTTTTTTGTCATGTAAAATATACATTTTGGAGATCATTTAATCTTAGCACAGATATTTCTTATTTTTGTATAACTGCATAGTACTCCACTGTAAAGATAAAATATAGTGTATTTATTTTGTTCCCATTGTTGGGCATTTGCTGGATAAAGATTCTGGTCTATATGCCTTTTCAAAATTTTTACCAGTGGCCAGGTGCATTGGGTTACACCTGTAATCCCAGCACTTTGGGATGCCGAGGAAGGAAGATCATTTGAACCCAGGAGTTCCAGACCAGCCTGGGCAACACTGAGGGACCCTGTCTCTACCAAAAATTATAAAATTATCCAGGTGTGCTGATGTGTGTCTGCAGTCCCAACTACTTGAGAGGCTGAGGCAGAAGGATTTGTTTGATCTCAGGAGTTTGAGGCTATAGTGAGCTAGGATCACACCACTGCATGCTAGCCTGCTGACAGAGAAAGACCCTGACTGTTGAAAAATAAAATAAAAAAAAATAAAAAGCTTACCAGTTTAGCTTTGGGGTTGTTTACTAGCAGTAGAATTGCTGGGTCAAAGGGCAAATGCTTTCATAATTTTGCCAATTATTGCCTCATCAATTTTCTCATATATGGATTATGCTGCTTTGCATCCTTAACAGCAGTACATGAGAATGGCTCATTTACGCAACCTGGCCAACAGAGGATAAAGTCAAAAGTTTTGATAGTTTCTAATCTGTAGGGGAGAATTGGAAACCCAGTTAGTTTTAATTTGCATTCAGTTAAATGAGTCAGGTTGAGCATTTTCTCTTATGGTTAAAGGATTTATGCTTCTTTGTCTGTGAACAGTACATTTATATACCTTGCCAATTTTCCTTTTTTTTCATAGATTTGAAGCTCATATATTCTAATAACATTAGTATTTTGTCTATGATATAAATTAGAGGTAGATTTATATTATGTCATTATGGTGTTTCACTTCAAATATCACAATGGTGGTTATTTTTTGCTATGAAACATTTTTATTTTTATATCTATAGTCTATTTGTCAAGCTCACCAAATATTTTTTCCTTTGTGCATCTGGATTTGAGCTGTAATTAGGAAATTTTTTTTAACACTAAAGCTATAGAGGAATTTACTCATGTTTTTGTCTAATATTTATGTAGTTTCATTTTTAATATTTAAATTATGTAAATTTATGATTTCTTTGGAATTATTCTAGTGACTGCTATAAGGAATGGATCCTTTTTCATGATTATAATGGTATTAATTATACCTTTGTCTTATACCAAATTTACACATACAATTTGATTAATTTTTAATTTTTTAATTCTCTTCTAACAGTCTTCTTACTAATGGGCAAATGCCATCCACTTTTAATTAAAATGGCTTTATAATATTTAATGTCTGGTGAGGCTATTTCTCAATTAATGTTTTATTGGGAGTCAAGTTTTTTCTGATTATTTTTGCTTGATTGTTTTCTAGATGAACTCTATAATAGACCTATCTAGCTGTTCAATATTTATTTTTACAGGATTCTAAATTAACAAGCCAGAACAGATATTTTAATTATGTTGAGTCTTCTGTCCAACATGATGATATATTTTAAATCCACTTTCTTGGTGTAGTTTTTTATTGATACATAATAGTTGTACATATTTTGGGGTACATGTGATATTTTGATGCATGTATACAATGTGTAATGATCAAACCAGGGTAACTGGGATAAAAATCACCTCAAACATTTCTCTTTTCTGTGTGGATTGGGAACACTTCAATTCTTCTTTTCTTGCTATTTCAATTTCAATTTAGCTCAAGAAGACATGTATTTGAATTTTTAGTATTTTTAATTCCTATTAGGTATCTTTTTACTGCAAATCCACTACTCAACACACAATGAAATTCTTCAAATGTAAGCATCTATATATAATTCAAGGCGTTAATGCTAGTATTTTTTTTTAGCTTTTCTAGACTTGCATGGTTGAATGAATAAATTTATCGCACCAGTTTCTCTTCTATGAACTTTTTTTTTATTGGAAAATATGTTATGGTATTGTGAGTCAATAGAACTGGATTGCAGAACTGGATCATTTAAGTAGAGGTAGAACTTAGTGAAGGAAGCTACTTAACCTCCTTTACCTTCATTCTCTTATCTGTAAAAGGAGATGAAGGGGATGCAGGTATCATTGTATCATTTAGGAATAGATTCAGTGGCATATAAAATTAAATAGACAGTGGCTTAAGCAAATAAGGTGTTTTGTTTTGTTTTGTGAGTAACAAAAATTTCAGAACTAGAAAATACAGGGTGGGCTTGGTAGCCCCAGGAAGCCATCAGGACTTAGGCTCCACTTAGCTTTCTAATCCCTCACCCTTGGAGTTGCTCTTATACTTTTGCTTTTATACTTATAACCTAGTGGTTGCAAGATGGCTTTCCTGACTCCAGTTTTATGTCTCTCTTTAAGGAAACAAGACAAGGAAGAGTGTAGAATAAAAGTTGTATCAGCTGCTTTAGATTTTCCCGTAGGCGCTGCCCAGTCATTGCTGCTTATATGTCATTACTTGTGCCATATGCTCACTGCTAGTTCAAGGGAGTGGATATTGGAGTGGAATTATTGTTTGTTTATTTGTTGGATTTCATTTAAGAGTAATGTCCTACCAAATAAAATTATGATTCTGTTCATAGAGGAGGAAGGCAATGGATCTGACAGTTCACCATGGTGGACTACGTGATCTCTAAAGTCCCTTCTATATATATCAAAATAAAAACAAACAAAATCTTTTCCTCTGTCAATTGAAGAATGTCAAGGTTCATAAATTTGGAAACAAGAGATTTATTTTTCATAAAGGGTTGCAACCTGCATGGTGGACATTCTGACAGGCGGAGAAGCATAGCTCCTTGCCAAAAACCTGAAACAGTCAATTGGAAGGTGGGGGTGGGGGGGCAGTGGAGGAGGAAGGTGAGGAATAGGAATTCATGCTGAGCAGGGTGGCTGAATATCTACATTTAATAACCTATAGGAGAAATCATGAATATTTTTGGAAGAAGAAACATGAACATGCACAATGGAGCTTCATGGCCCCTCATATGTAGCATGTAGATTGACCAGAACCACTCTGTGGTCAGTGGTCTCTTATTGGGAAGGAATGCTGGTCAACTGTGTCCAAACTGCTGAAGGGAGGGGACAGTGTCAGGGGTTGGTTGCTATCAGTGATGGAGTCTTTCACAAGGGCTGGTTTCTGTTTAGTGTTGGTTTCTGTTAGGTGTGTCTGACCTCTCATTCTGTCATTGTCAAGAGCTCAATTTTCAAGACTACTCTGGGGTCCCCTTGGCCAAGAGGGAGTCTGTTCAGTCATTTAGGAGGCTTAAAATTTCATTTTTATTTATCATCTCTCTTGCCCCCACAATATTTCTTTTTTCTTTTTTTCTTTTTCTTTCTTTTTTTTTTTTTTTTGAGATGGAGTCTTGCTCTGTCACCCAGGCTGGAGTGCAGTGGTGCAATCTTGGCTCACTGTAAACTCCGCCTCCCAGGTTCAAGTGATTCTCCTACTTCAGCCTCCTGAGTAGCTGTGATTACAGGCGCCCACCACCACTCCTGGCTAATTTTCGTATTTTTTAGTAGAGAAGGGGTTTCACCATGTTGGCCAGGCTGCTCTGGAACTCCTGATCTCGGGTAATCCTCCCTCCTAGGCCTCCCAAAGTGCTGGGATTACAGGTGTGAGCCACCACTCCCGGCCACCCTCACAATATTTATTCACTCATTTCTTAAGGATATTTTCTATAAAGAACCCAAGCTTTTATGTACTGAAATTTTAAACTGTATAAACAACTTTCAAGTGGTAAGGATTTTTAAGTATCAGATGTGTGGGGAGAGAGTAGGAGGAGGGGGCAAGAGGAGGAAAACTGCACACACAAATGGAGGGGAAATGGAGAAGCAAGAACTGCTCCAATCTCACTTGATCTTACATTTCGGCTTTTTAGTCACAAGCATTGTTGGGTTTGCTATTTTACAAAATAACTGGATTATATAAAGAATTGTTTAAAGACATATAAAAAACAACTTTTGAGTCACTGCTATTAACTAGAAGTCACTAGCTACCTTTTTGTGTCAACTTCACTGAGGCATAATCCATAGACAGTAAACGGCCCCATTTTAAGTGTACAGTTTGATGGGTTTTGACAAATGTAAATACCTGTGTAATAACCAACCTAGTCAGGATATAGGTCAATTCCACCACTCCAGAAATTTTTATATTTCACTTTGCTGTCCACCTCTCCCAACCCAACATGGAAAACTACTGATCTGTTTTCTGTCACTATAGATTAGTTTGCATTTTCTATAATTTCATACAAATGGGATAATACAGTGTATACTCTTGTATCTGGGCTCTTTAAATCAGCTTAATGATTTTGAGATACGTCCATGTTGTTGCTGTATCAGCTGTTCAATCATTTAATATTACTTAGCAGTATTTCTTTGTATAAAAAAATTACTATAGGCCAGGCGTGGTGGCTCACACCTGTAATCCCAGCACCTTTGGAGACCTAGGAGGATGGATCACCTGAGGTCAGAAGTTTGAGACCAGCCTGGCCAACATGGCGAAACCTCATCTCTGCAAAATATACAAAAATTAGCAGGGTGCAAATAAACTAGAAAATCTAGAAGAAATGGACAAATTCCTCGACACATACACTCTCCCAGGACTAAACCAGGAAGAAGTTGAATCTCTGAATAGACCAATAACAGGACCTGAAATTGTGGCAATAATCAATAGTTTACCAACCAAAAAGAGTCCAGGACCAGATGGATTCACAGCCGAATTCTACCAGAGGTACAAGGAGGAAATGGTACCATTCCTTCTGAAACTATTCCAACCAATAGAAAAAGAAGGAATCCTCCCTAACTCATTTTATGAGGCCAGCATCATTCTGATACCAAAGCCTGGCAGAGACACAACCAAAAAAGAGAATTTTAGACCAATATCCTTGATGAACATTGATGCCAAAATCCTCAATAAAATTCTGGCAAAACGAATCCAGCAGCACATCAAAAAGCTTATCCACCATGATCAAGTGGGCTTCATCCCTGGGATGCAAGGCTGGTTCAATATATGCAAATCAATAAATGTAATCCAGCATATAAACAGAGCCAAAGACAAAAACCACATGATTATGTCAATAGATGCAGAAAAAGCCTTTGACAAAATTCAACAACCCTTCATGCTAAAAACTCTCAATAAATTAGGTATTGATGGGACGTATTTCAAAATAATAAGAGCTATCTATGACAAACCCACAGCCAATATCATACAGAATGGGCAAAAACTGGAAGCATTCCCTTTGAAAACTGGCACAAGACAGGGATGCCCTCTCTCACCACTCCTATTCAACATAGTGTTGGAAGTTCTGGCCAGGGCAAGTAGGCAGGAGAAGGAAATAAAGGGTATTCAGTTAGGAAAAGAGGAAATCAAATTGTCCCTGTTTGCAGATGACATGATGTATATCTGGAAAACCCCATTGTCTCAGCCCAAAATCTCCTTAAGCTGATAAGCAACTTCAGCAAAGTCTCAGGATACAAAATCAATGTGCAAAAATCACAAGCATTCCTATACACCAGCAGCAGACAAACAGAGAGCCAAATCATGAGTGAACTCCCATTCACAATTGCTTCAAAGAGAATAAAATACCTAGGAATCCAACTTACAAGGGATGTGAAGGACCTCTTCAAGGAGAACTACAAACCACTGCTCAACGAAATAAAAGAGGATACAAACAAATGGAAGAACATTCCATGCTCATGGGTAGGAAGAATCAATATCATGAAAATGGCCATACTGCCCAAGGTAATTTACAGATTCAATGCCATCCCCATCAAGCTACCAATGACTTTCTTCACAGAATTGGAAAAAACTACTTTAAAGTTCATATGGAACCAAAAAAGAGCCTGCATTGCCAAGGCAATCCTAAGCCAAAAGAACAAAGCTGGAGGCATCACACTACCTGACTTCAAACTATACTACAAGGCTACAGTAACCAAAACAGCATGTTACTGGTACCAAAACAGAGATATAGATCAATGGAACAGAACAGAGCCCTCAGAAATAACGCCGCATATCTACAACTATCTGATCTTTGACAAACCTGAGAAAAACAAGCAATGGGGAAAGGACTCCCTATTTAATAAATGGTGCTGGGAAAACTGGCTAGCCATATGTAGAAAGCTGAAACTGGATCCCTTCTTTACACCTTATACAAAAATCAATTCAAGATGGATAAAAGACTTAAACGTTCGACCTAAAACCATAAAAACCCTAGAAGAAAACGTAGGCATTACCATTCAGGACATAGGTATGGGCAAGGACTTCATGTCCAAAACACCAAAAGCAATGGCAACAAAAGACAAAATTGACAAATGGGATCTAATTAAACTAAAGAGCTTCTGCACAGCAAAAGAAACTACCATCAGAGTGAACAGGCAACCTACAGAATGGAAGAAAATTTTTGCAACCTACTCATCTGACAAAGGGCTAATATCCAGAATCTACAATGAACTCAAACAAATTTACAAGAAAAAAACAAACAACCCCATCAAAAAGTGGGCAAAGGACATGAACAGACACTTCTCAAAAGAAGACATTTATGCAGCCAAAACACACATGAAAAAATGCTCATCATCACTGGCCATCAGAGAAATGCAAATCAAAACCACAATGAGATACCATCTCACACCAGTTAGAATGGCAATCATTAAAAAGTCAGGAAACAACAGGTGCTGGAGAGGATGTGGAGAAATAGGAACACTTTTACACTGTTGGTGGGACTGTAAACTCGTTAAACCATTGTGGAAGTCAGTGTGGCGATTCCTCAGCGATCTAGAACTAGAAATACCATTTGACCTAGCCATCCCATTACTGGGTATATACCCAAAGGACTATAAATCATGCTGCTATAAAGACACATGCACACGTATGTTTATTGCGGCATTATTCACAATAGCAAAGACTTGGAACCAACCCAAATGTCCAACAATGATAGACTGGATTAAGAAAATGTGGCACATATACACCATGGAATACTATGCAGCCATAAAAAATGATGAGTTCATGTCCTTTGTAGGGACATGGATGAAATTGGAAATCATCATTCTCAGTAAACTATCACAAGAACAAAAAACCAAACACCACATATTCTCACTCATAGGTGGGAATTGAACAATGAGATCACATGGACACAGGAAGGGGAATATCACACTCTGGGGACTGTGGTGGGGTGGGGGGAGGGGGGAGGGATAGCATTGGGAGATATACCTAATGCTAGATGACGAGTTAGTGGGTGCAGCGCACTAGCATGGCACATGTATACAAATGTAACTAACCTGCACATTGTGCACATGTACCCTAAAACTTAAAGTATAAAAAAAAAAAATTAGCCAGGCATGGTGGCACTTGCCTATAATCCCAGCTACTTGGGAGGCTGAAGCAGGAGAATCACTTGAACTCAGGAGGCAGAGGTTGCAGTGAGCCGAGATTGCGCCACTGCATTCCAGCCTGGGTGACAGAGTGAGACTTTGTCTCAAAAAAAAAAATGTATATACATATATATATATATATAAAACTACAATTTGTTTTGTCCATTCATAGATTGATGGACATTTGGATTATTTTCAGTTTTGAACTGTTATGATTAATGATTAACTTACTATGAATGTTCAAATACAGATCTTTGTACAGACATATGTTTTCATCTTTCTCAGATAAACATGAGTGTTACTGTATGGTAATATGATAATTGTACATTTAAATTTAAGATTGCCAAATTCCTTTCCAAAGTGGCAGGACAAATATACATCCCACCAGCAATGTATGAGAATGTTATTTGTTCTGCATTCTTAGTAATGCATAGAATTTTCAGTCTTTAAATTTTAGCCATCTAATTAATGTTTAGTGAAATATACTGAGTTATTAAAGCACTAAACTCACAATTTTCTCCTGTCTTTCTCTTTCAATAGTAGAGTCCTCTTTGGTTTTGCCTAATTTTTCACCATGCTTCATAAGTTCCTTCCCAAGCGTGAGTAATTTAGCTGTCAGCTAGGGATATGGGCAGAATTTATACTTAAATTTTGGGTCTCATTTCTTTGCTTCTTTTGTTGGCAGTATTTTTTCTTTAAATTTCCAGATGTTCTGCCAGCCCCGCACTCTGTTCTCTGTCACCTTGAGCTGTAAAGTTGAGGTTTTCAAATGCTCCCTTTCCTATCCCTGTAGCTGTGGTAGTTGAAGAGCTCACCTTTTGTTCTTTCCTTTCTGCGATGGCTTGTGTCTTTATATGTTAACCCACAGTTCTCTAAACTGTGTTAATTTTTCTTCATTCTAGTTGCAGTTTGTTAAGAGTAAGCTCTTCCCTAGCTTCCTAAAAAAAAGCTTTAGTGACTTTAGTTTTTCTTTTTTATATTTTCCTTTAGATTTATTTGATAATTAATATCTGGCAGAAGTTTCACATGATCACTTTACTCTACCCTTTTCCTGGAAATGTCCCCAGTTTCCAGCTTCTTAATGCTGTTTACTCCTGTGCGTTCTCAATCTCTCTCCCAGGAGGTAGAATCTAGTAGAATCTAGGCACTGACCACTTCTAAAAATTATAAATTACCTCTTAGTTTTTACATTTTGTCCTATATTTATGACTGCAGTCTTTTTCAGAAGGTTTATTCTTCATGGGACAGGAAAGATCTAAGATGTTGGGAACATGTTCTCCAAAAAATCTTCATTACTAGGTTTGAAAAGAGTGCTCAGATGCCTGTTAACTGATAATGAGCAATCAAAATAAAATATTAATTTCCAAATCTAATCCAAGTTCTGGGGGCCATGCAATTTACAATAGAGTAGCAAAGGAAAAGAGTTTCTTTACTTTCTCGGGACAAGAATCTAAAGCAAAAGTTAAAATTTAGGCAAAATTAAACTGTGGTGCTTTCGTATTTCCCTTTCTTCTTTCTTCTACTTCCCCAGGCACCCAGCATGTGTTGTTCTGTTGCTCTATGTCCTCACTGCACCTCATGCTGAGATCTCACTTGTCCCCTAAAACTTACTTTCCTTCTAAGTTATTTACCTCCATCCTACTTAAAAAGAACTCCAATTCTCCTGCTAAATATTTAGCAGTTTTTTAGTGGTTCTTCTCTGCTAAATATTTAGAGGCAAATTTCCTCACATTCCCGGAGGCATTTTCATTTTTAGAAGGAGATGTTTAATATCACAAATACATTTTGAATTGAGACCATTCCAGTGGTGTAATAGAACATATTAAATTTTTCAGTTTACATGGGAAAATGTATGTGAGGCTGAGGGTCAACTTGTGGTCAGTCCCTGAGCAGAGATCTCTACTAATGGTCAGCTATCCTGGAATGTTCCTTAATTTTACCTCTTCTCATCTATTTTCATTTTAAAATCTAGAGATTTGGTAAAAGCTTCCTGTCTTTGGTTTGCATAACAGATAGATTGTTTTGAAATAGTAGTCCATGGTAGTGTCTCTGGGGATTCATGGGTGGTGGATGGCATGAAGGAGCAGTGGTAGTGAAACTCATTTTTGTATGTAGATGAACTTGTCTCTGGAACTTTTCTTCCTCTTTTTCTGCTGCTTTTCTCTACATTCCATACCTCCCTTTTCAAGCCGTTAGCTGGTAAATTTTTCCCCGCTGACAATGAGAGAGTGTTATTGCCTGTACTTTTGTTGATCATGTCTTGATACATCTGGAGAAAAGGTCACTTTCAAAGTTTAGCTTGGTACTTCAAAATTTTACTTGCTCTACTGTAATGCTCAGTTAAACTTTAAATAATATATACACACAGATATATCTAAAGTGTATATTATATATAAAATATTACATATAAATACATAATTTGTTACATACAATGAATATTATATATATTATTATATATAATTTTATTTTTATTATTTACTTATTTATTTTGATATAGTGTTTTTTGCTTTGTCACCCAGGCTGGAGTACAGTAGCACCATCATGGCTTACTGCAGCCTCGACCTCCTGGGCTGAAGTGATCCTCCCACCTCAGTCCCCCAAGTAGCTGCGATTACAGGCGCACATCACCATGCTCAGCTAATTTTTGTATTTTTTGTAGAGTCAGGGTTTCACCATGTTGCCCAGGCTGGTCTTGAACTCCTAGACTCAAGCAATCTGCCAGCGTTTGCCTCCCAAAGTGTTGGGAATACAGGCATGAGCCACCATGGCAGGCTCATTATTTATTTATATTTATTTATTTATTTATTTATTTATTTATTTATTTTAGAGACAGACTTTTAGTCTGTTGCCCAGGCTGGAGTGCAGTGACATAATCATAGCTCACTGCAGTCTCAAAAACTCCTGGGCTGAAGTGATCCTTCAGTCTTGGCCTCCCAAAGCCCTAAGATTACAGATATGAGCCACCATGCTCAGCAAGTTAAACTAATATAAAACAGCTATATGCTCAACCATATTCTTGCTTTTGTCTATAATAATTCTTAAGTTTGCCTTTATCACTTTTGTTGTTAAGATAGCTTCTAAATTATTACATTGTATCATTGTGACCCACTGTTTCTAATGACCCATTTAGCATTTTTTTTTTTTTTTAGTTTCATTATCTTCCCTGAGTTCTTACAGAATTTTCTTTTCTTTGGTTATGAGAAGCAATATTGAATTCTCATGTTACCTTCAGTGGTCCAGCATCTCTTTTTCCTAGTCTTCCACTGTTGCAGTGGGTAGTTAGGCAGACATGAGCAGGGCAGGAGAGAGCACCCTCCCCCACCAGGAATGTCAGGCCACCAACAGGTGATGGTCAAGTGGTTGTTAATTGCCTGTCTAAAATAATTGGTTGCAGCCAGCACCAGGAAAGGCAGCCTCCCAATAGATAGAAAAAACCTGAAGCTAGTGATCAGGCGCTTCCTAATAAGATCTCAGGAGTTGGGTGAATGGGCTCCAGCATGTACACTAAAAGACAAAATGTCAGAGTTTAACTGGTATATGACCTTCTTAGGAGCATTTGACTGGTAAGGAGAAAGTCCTCAAGTGAGCATGTATACAGCTCCAGTAAACACACTGTGTATGCCCCACTCCCAAGCGCTAGCAGGCCACTGCATATGCGGACAGCCCACCCAAAAAGAAGAATCAAGGGAGAAGTAATGCAAGACCCCAGAGACATGCCAACATATAAAACCCGAAATCAAAATGTCAAACTGTGCACTTGATCTCTCAAGTTACCCGCTTGACTGTCTTCCATGTATACTTTACTTCCTTTCATTCCTGTTCTAAAACTTGCCACAGTCTCTCACTCTGCCTTATGCCCCCTTGGTTGAATTCTTTTTTCTGAGGAGGCAAGAATTGAGGTTGCTGTAGACCCATACACATTCACTGCCATTAACACCACTTTATGCAATTGGTGAGCACCACTTTCTTTGCATATTACCTACTTTGTTATTTAGGGATTGAATGCAGGGTCAATCACACAGGTCTTCTATTAGCTTCACATGAATCCTGATTTCTCATCCTAAAAAAGGGGACAAGAAGTCCTCTCTTGCCCCATGTGATGCAAAACAATAACATCACATGTTTCAGAAAGTGCTATGTGAATTACAAAGCAATTTCACATATAGTTAACACAATATGTCAGGTACTGTTTTATGCACTTAATATGCATTGCCCATTTAATCATATGAGTAATGAGGTGGACACTGTAATTATTCCCTTTTCATACAGTCAAAATCTAAGCAAAGGAAGTTACTTGAGTTAATCTAGTCCACAAAGCTACTAGTTAACAGAGTGGGATTCAAATTCAGAAAGTTCGGCTTTGAAGCTTGACGCCTTTATTCTTATACTACATGATTTATGTGAAGCTGTTTGCTCTAGACAAACTGCCCAGTGAGATGCTAGCATTAACACCATATGAACATGAGTAAGTAGCTACGAGATAGGTAAATGTATTACTCTCTGACATTTAACTAAAGCAGTTCATTTGGAAAAGTCTGTTCTTGCCAGGAATTCATGTTGCTTCTCCACTCTCTAGATATCCTACGTGAAACTACAGTGCCAATAACACCAAACTGAGTTTATCTCAGTTTAAACTTTGAAAGCAACAGCATTTGAAGAGTGCAGAAAGAAAATTAGAAACATGACAAACACATTTATTAAGAATGGACCCAATCCCTCCAGCAAACAATGTTATAGCAACTGCTTCAAATCCAAATATTACAGCAGCTGCCTCAAATCCTGCCAGTAACAATCACAAAAAAAGTGTAGTACAATGCTTAGTTGTCTTTTTGGACTAACTATATTTGACTATTTGAGAGCCATGACCTGCTAAATGAAGCCAGTGAGGCATTCAGCCTCAAAGTCACTCCACTGGAAAAGTAATACTTAGCCCAGAAAATTTACCTTAGGAAATCCTTCATTAGTTAAGGATGTTTTCTCTTATGTAAATATATGTATTCCATGGAGGGAGAACATAAGTCTGATTCATTATTCAGGCTTTGGTGGATCTAGTTAATCCAATTGTTTGGCCAACTGAGGGTAAGTCTGGATAAGGAGATAGAAGGAGAGGCAGTGCAATACATAGAAGAGAAGCAGGTTTTAAGGTCAGAAAAAAATAGCACCTGAATGCAGATCAGAAACTGAGTAATGAAGAACAGATTATAAAACCTCAGTTTTCTTATCTGTGAAATGGTATAACACTTAATTCATCAATTTATTTTGGTGATTACATAATATGGCATATATAAAACACCTAGATTATAATGTCTACTAAAATGTTAATTCCATTTTCTCCTTATACATCCCTGGAAGATGTATTGTAGCGGGTGGATCATCAATCATTTCTGACCCCAGAGGTTTGGGTTGAGCAGAAAGGGAGAATAAGATGGATGGATAAAACAAGAGGGTATTCTCAGTCACAAGAAGGAAGTCAGAGGTGCTAAAGAAAAGATTCAACTATTTTGAAGTTCTGTTTATGATTAAACCTGATTCTCTCTCTGCCCCATCAATCTATTACCTTTCACTTTTAAAGGCAGACCTACACATAGTAGAGAACAAAACAGGTGAAAAGCATTCCTGGAGCTTTCTTCTTTGCTTGGCTTTAGAGAAGGCAAAGAGAGAATAAGTTGACACACTGTGAATGT
Organism: Homo sapiens; assembly: GCF_000001405.40. Taxonomy (NCBI): domain Eukaryota; kingdom Metazoa; phylum Chordata; class Mammalia; order Primates; family Hominidae; genus Homo; species Homo sapiens. The sequence goes on along the minus strand of NC_000007.14, from coordinate 86,451,309 downwards.
GTCAAATGGTCTTTCAAGCTGCACTCGCCACTTTATCATCCACCTAACCCATCCAAGTTTCTCTTGTATATTCTTTCCTCTTTCATAAATAAGGTTACCTAGTGAAATTCAGGTCATAATTCCTCCAGATATGTTTATTATTGTTATCAACCTGGAGCAGAGACTTAAGCTAATAGGAATGAAAATGCTAGCATCACTCAACAGATGAAAACAATTGAGGTGGTGGGCGGCAGTGGATCAGGACCTCCTGTGAAATCACCCTCGCAAAGGCAATAATCCCTTCCACCTGTGTGCACTTTGTAACTCCTTTAGCACAGCTGACTAAATTACTGCCTGCATTTCTACCTTCCCTTCGTTTTTGGATTCCTTCTTCCTCCTGGAAATGTGAGCAGTTGGGTAGAAAGCTCAAGGTCTTTCCAGCGGCTTTTCTGAAGGTAAAACTTCTGATTATGTTTGAGAATTTAAATATTAAACGGACACAAATGACATTCTAAATACTTTCTCTTTCAGTTTTGACTTTATTTCTGACCTAATTTTCTATTTGACAAAACTTAGAGTGATTTATGGTGCTAAATCTCATTTAAAAAGAATAAATTCACTAAAGCAAGTTCCATACAAAAATCAGTATCACACATCTTGAGACTGTTACATCACTAGCTTTTAAGGAGGTCAGGTTTCATCAATACTAATGTTTTTCTTCTCTTATATGCTGTTACAGGTCAGTGGTGTTGGGGTGATATTAACCACAGTAAAGTTGCAGTAGCATATTAAGATAATATTAAGTACTGGAGAAGATAACCTCCCAAATGGTGTCAGTGCCTGACAAAAACACTCCCTACATCCACACATATCAAAAGCGAATGTATATCTTGTTCAGAGACAGGTTAACTCCAACACATTACAAGATGAACACGGAATAATTTACTGGAGTGGCAAAGTGATAAATTTATGCATTTTCTCTTTCTTTTGATTATTTTAGTGACTCAGATGTTTTGGGGGAAGGTAAAATAAGTTTTACCTATGCAGCTGAAATGCATACATTTTAAACATTTTCATCAAAATTTGGTAAGCTTGTATCAAAGTAAACAACTGTTATGTCATATGTTAATTAAACAAAGTTGTGAGCATCTTCCATGTGGCAGACCTTTATCCAGGGCCTGAATAAGACAGATGAATACAGGGATATTATAGGGATGAATAAGATAGATGTGGTCTCTGTTGTCATCAAGCTTTCATTATCACAGGGAGATAGACAAAAACCAAGTTGACAAATACATAGATAATATTTCAGATAAATTTAACAACTATGAAGAAAATAAACGATAAAGTATAACCTCCCTATGGAGGGGAGCTACTTTTTAAATTGGATAGTTAGAAAAACACCTTTGAAAAAAGGTAAAATCTCAGAAGCCATGTAAATGGAAAGTATTACAGAGAATTGTATTGAACTATGCAAAATAAAATGCAATATTGAGATAATTATATAAATTAATTATTTTGACTGGGTATTGATCTATGAGATAATCCATTATTTTTGCCTATTTTAATGAATTGTTCAGACATTTGTTGCCAGTATCCAAATTCACAAATAGTTATGTGTGGTGTTTTTCTGCCATCCTCTATGTAGCCCTAAGATTTTCCTTAGCCCCAATTATCGATGCTTGAAACACATTGCTTTGGGTACCAATCAATTTGCTTTCCAAGGTAATGGTTGGGTCTAAAAATACAAAAGGAAGCTAAAGTTTCAGAACTTAATTTTTCAACAAAATTGTCAGATAGAATCTGCATCTGGGATAATTTTCTGACCAATCCTATTTCTTTGTTTTTTATACAAAGTGATAATTTTTCCCCCCACCATCCTGCATTCTCTAATACAGGATTTTATTTTTCTTGATTCTATGTACAAAGAGTGACTTCCTGAACTTTATTATATTCTCCTTAGTTGATCTAACCATAGCAGTGTGCATCGTAAAATAGCTAGTTGGTCTCTATCCATGTTAATTATTGCCAGAACTGGATTACAATTTTTACAAAAGATAAAAAATTCATAGTTATAATGTGTGCAAAGAAAATTTATCACAAAGTAAGGAAAGACAATGAACTAGAACTCTCTCATTCAGGTTATATATTTCTGAGACTTATTAGCATAAATTGAAATGGCATATTTTTCTTGATGTGGACACTTATTCACCAGTCTAGATGGAGGCTACTGATGCATTTCACACAGGCCACCAGAGAGCTGTAAGTGCTTCCCCCATCTGTCAACTAGTAATTGCTCAAATGGTTCCTGCAAGTCCAAAGCTGCTGGTCTATTTCCAGGGCTTAGTAACAATGATAAACTAAAGTGATGACGGCATGAATAAGGGAAAAACTAAACTTGTAAAGGGACGTAAAACTAAAAGTTAAAACGTAAGCAGTGCCCTTCTGCAATGTTTGAAGTGTCATAATCAGAGCATCAAAAAAGTAGTTTTCCTTGTATATATATATTTTTTCTAATGTCATGGACTCATTGTATTTTTCTAATATCAATCAGTGAGTTAAACAGAAAAAGAAGTCCTATCAGGATGTTTGGCCACCTGATTGTGGAACTCCTTTGAACATTCAAACATCATATGGATTATTGATGTAAACCCATGCACACATTTTTTAACAACATATGCAGAAGTGCTACTAGGGCAATGGGCTATGTGGCTATCCATATCCCTTTTTATTACGCCTCTAAGAAGATAAAGTCAAAATTGTGTAGAAAAACTTAGTAAAGTATTTCAAAGATGTTATGTACACCAACCCTAAGTATTTGTAACAAAAAGCTGCTTCAAGCTAAAAGTGTAAGGTGAGAGGCACTCAGCCAACAACACAGAGTTTTAAATTTTTCTTAGGCAAAAGAAATCTACAGAACCTCTAAAAACTTGATTTCAGGAAAAATAGTTTAATTAGAAATAATGCTGAACTCTTAGAAATAATATTCCCTTAAAGCAATGTTATAGCTAGCATTTAATTTTATTTGTGTCTGTATATAGACTCATAATTTATACATAGAGAATAACTTTAGCTAAGGTGACCATTTGCCCTATAAGCAACATCTAGTGAATCTTCAAAAAATACATACAAATCAGGAATGGAATCTCAATATTTTTAGGTTGATTTTGCCAAGGGAAAATTAATTTCAAAGAAATTGGATGACCCCAGAGAGGAAAGATCATTCTACATCTCCAAATTTAAAAAAAAGAAAAATGATTTTCTTTCCTTCCCTCCCCCTCCTCCTCCTCCTTTTTTTTTTCTCTCTCTCTATCTTTTTCTATGCCACTCCTTCCCTCTCTCTTTCTCCTTCTTTCTTTCTTTTGAGAATTTACTGTGGCTCTTTGTCTCTTTATATATATTTACATAGCTTGCACATTGTCCAGCTCTCCACATTATTTAAACTTAGTTTTGTAGATCATTCACAATTTTTAAAGACAGAAAATTCATTTTATGTGGTAAAATGTTTTTGTCAAGGATAGTTGGTAAAATCATATTAAAAATACTGTTTTGAAAATAGATTGGAAGTTGATAAATGCAACTCTGCGCTTCATCCTTCTGAGAACAATTTGATAGTTTCTTGGTCTTGTTTTCTTAGGAAATCAAAGTATGTGATTTACAAAAGGTCAAGTTTGACCTTTCATCTATTATCACACCAATGTTTTCAAATCTGTAGGATATTTCTACTTCCCAGGCCTACTCTCACTATGAATTCTACATGCCTAAGCCTAAATTTGTCTCCTATATTCCCTCCTTTCCTGGAAAAGCATGAGTTTCTCAGCCACTGTATTTCTTTCTACCATTCCACTGTCTCAGACCTCCACCCACTTAAAAAATTACGTTTGACTGTAATGCCCCTCTAGCAGCTCTAATCAATCTGTCTCCTAATTCTACTGGTATCCCATCCCGAGAAAATTCTTCCTTTGTATGTCTCCTCTAGCTACCTCACTACTTCTTTCTGTTCTGACTCATCTATGCTACTCAGGAGAGTTGTTTGTATTTAATGTCGTGTCCCACTTTCCACTTACTGCTTAACCTTCTGCAAATGGGCTACTATAGTACCCTTCATTCTTGCTAATAGCTAAATCCAACATAAAAAATGTCATTCTTATCCAACTGAGTCTTCCTACTGTGAAACTTTTTTATTTTTTTATTTTTATTTTATTTTATTTTATTTTTTTTACACAGGGTCTCGCTCTGTTGCCCAGGGTTGAGTGCAATGGTGCAATCATGGCTTACTGCAGCCTCAACCTCCCTGGGCTCAGGCGAGTCTCCTACCACCCTCCCGATAAGTTAGGACTACAAGTGTGCATCACAATGCCCGGATAATCTTTATACTTTTTTGTAGAGGTGGGGTTTCATCATGTTGCCCAGGTTGGTCTCAAACTCCTGGGCTCAAGGGATCAACCTGCCCTGGCATCCCAAAGTGCTAGAATTGCAGGTGTGAACCATCACACCTGACCTACTATAACACTTTTGATTAGTCCTTCCCTTGAAAGATTCTGCACTTCATTTGTTTCCATTATCTATTAGGCTTCTGGTTCTATTTGTATTCTTCTGACAATTCTTTTTCTCATATGATGTACATGAATTAAATAGGAGCTAAGAGGTATCATGTGTAGCAGCTTATGGCTTTTGGTGGTCCTCAGAGGTGTAACTTTGGGTTACAGGGATGAAGAAAGTTAGGCAGTTGTTGGGAGCACAGCAATATGAAAAACAAAAACATGAGAAGTAGCAGTGGTTTTAGGTAATATGGTGCCTGTAGAAGCAGTTTGGGAAATTGGAAGATGAAATGGTGGTATATCTGTGGGTAAAAGTGGAGAAAGAGCATGAAGAATCCCAAATGCTATAGTAAGATCTTGTCCAGAATGGTTGGTGGTACTATTGGTAGATTTCAAGCTGTGACGTGATAAAATTAGCTTTGAATTTCAGACAGAACATACTGGAGACAATTTGGAGAATAAATTGAAATTGTGCAATATTGGATGTAGAAACAATGTGGAGGGTTATTTAAAAATCCCAATAAATTAGCAACGAGGGTCTAAACCAAAATTTCGGCAATGAAGTTAAAGAGAACGAAACAGATTAAATAGCTATTTGGGTTACAGAATTGATAGAA